>NC_000006.12:97798062-97949577 GCF_000001405.40 Homo sapiens
TAAACCAGGAAGAAGTTGAATCTCTGAATAGACCAATAACAGGCTCTGAAATTGAGGCAATAATTAATAGCTTACCAACCAAAAAAAGTCCAGGACCAGACAGATTCACAGCCGAATTCTACCAGAGGTACAAGGAGGAGCTGGTACCATTCCTTCTGAAACTATTCCAATCAATACAAAAAGAGGGAATCCTCTCTAACTCATTTTATGAGGCCAGCATCAACCTGATACCAAAGCCTGGCAGAGACACAGCAAAAAAAGAGAATTGTAGACCAATATCCCCGATGAACATCAATGCAAAAATCCTCAATAAAATACTGGCAAACTGAATCCAGCAGCACATCAAAAAGCTTATCCACCATGATCAAGTGGGCTTCATCCCTGGGATGCAAGGCTGGTTCAACATATGCAAATCAATAAACGTAATCCAGCATATAAACAGAACCAACAACAAAAACCACATGATTATCTCAATAGATGCAGAAAAGGCCTTTGACAAAATTCAGCAGCCCCTTTGTGCTAAAAACTCTCAATAAATTAGGTATTGATGGGACGTATCTCAAAATAATAAGAGCTATTTATGACAGACCCACAGCCAATGTCATACTAAATGGGCAAAAACTGGAAGCATTCCCTTTCAAAACTGGCACAAGACAGGGATACCCTCTCTCACCACTCCTGTTTAACATAGTGTTGGAAGTTCTGGCCAGGGCAATCAGGCAGGAGAAGGAAATAAAGGTATTCAATTAGGAAAAGAGGAAGTCAAATTGTCCCTGTTTGCAGATGAAATGATTGTATACCTAGAAAACCCCATTGTCTCAGCCCAAAATCTCCTTAAGCTGATAATCAACTTCAGCAAAGTCTCAGGATACAAAATCAATGTGCAAAAATCACAAGCATTCCTATACACGAATAACAGACAAACAGAGAGCCAAACCATGAGTGAACTCCCATTCACAGTTGCTCCAAAGAGAATAAAATACCTAGGAATCCAACTTACAAGGTATTTGTAGGACCTCTTCAAGGAGAACTACAAACCACTGCTCAACGAAATAAAAGAGGATACAAACAAATGGAAGAACATACCATGCTCATGGGTAGGATGAATCAATATCGTGAAAATGGCCATACTGCCCAAGGTAATTTATAGATTCAATGCCATCCCCATCAAGCTACCAATGACATTCTTCACAGAATTGGAAAAAACTACTTTAAAGTTCATGTGGAACCAGAAAAGAGCCCTCATTGCCAAGTCAATCCTAAGCCAAAAAACAAAACTGGAGGCATCACACTACCTGACTTCAAACTATAATACAAGGCTAAAGTAACCACAACAGCATGGTACTGGTACCACAACAGAGATATAGACCAATGGAACAGAACAAAGCCCTCAGAAATAATGTCACATATCTACAACTATCTGATCTTTGACAAACCTGACAGAAATAAGAAATGGGGAAAGGATTCCCTATTTAATAAATGGTGCTGGGAAAACTGACTAGCCATATGTAGAAAGCTGAAACTGGATCCCTTCCTTACACCTTATACAAAAATTAATTCAAGATGGATTAAAGACTTAAATGTTAGACCTAAAACCATAAAAACCCTAGAAGAAAACCTAGGCAATACCATTCAGGACATAGGCATGGGCAAGGACTTCATGACTAAAACACCAAAAGCAATGGCAACAAAAGCCAAAATTGACAAATGGGATCTAATTAAACTAAAGAGCTTCTGCACAGCAAAAGAAACTACCATCAGAATGAATAGGCAACCTACAGAATGGGGGAAATTTTTGCAATCTACTCATCTGACAAAGGGCTAATATCCAGAATCTACAATGAACTCAAACAAATTTACAAGAAAAAAACAAATAACCCCATCAACAAGTGGGCAAAGGATATGAACAGACAATTCTCAAAAGAAGATATTTATGCAGCCAAAAGACACATGAAAAAATGCTCATCATCACTGGCCATCAGAGAAATGCAAATCAAAACCGCAATGAGATACCATCTCACACCAGTTAGAATGGCAATCATTAAAAAGCCAGGAAACAACAGGTGCTGGAGAGGATGTGGAGAAATAGGAACACTTTTACACTCTTGGTGGGACTACAAACTGGTTCAACCATTGTGGAAGTCAGTGTGGCGATTCCTCAAGGATCTAGAACTAGAAATACCATTTGACCCAGCCATCCCATTACTGGTTATATACACAAAGGATTATAAATCATGCTGCTGTAAAGACACATGCGCACGTATGTTTATTGCGGCACTATTCACAATAGCAAAGACTTGGAACCAACCCAAATGTCCAACAATGATAGACTGGATTAAGAAAATGTGGCACATATACACCATGGAATAGTATGCAGCCATAAAAAATGATGAGTTCATGTCCTTTGTAGGGACATGGATGAAGCTGGAAACCATCATTCTCAGCAAACTATCGCAAGGAAAAAAAACAAGGCCGGGCGGTGTGGCTCACGCCTGTAATCCCAGCACTTTGGGAGGCCAAGGCGGGCAGATCACAAGGTCAGGAGATCGAGACCATCCTGGCTAACACAGTGAAAGCCCGTCTCTACTAAAAATACAAACAATTAGCTGGGTGAGGTGGCGGGCGCCTGTAGTCCCAGCTACTCGGGAGGCTGAGGCAGGAGAATGGCGTGAACCCCAGGGGATGGAGCCTGCAGTGAGCCGAGATGCTGCCACTGCACTCCAGCCTGGGCAAGAGCGAGACTCCATCTCAAAAAAAAAAAAAAAAAAAAACAACCAAACACCGCATGTTCTCACTCATAGGTGGGAATTGAACAATGAGAATACATGGACACAGGAAGGGGAGCATCATACACCAGGGCCTGTTGTGGGGTGGGGGGAGGTGGGAGGGATAGCATTAGGAGATATACCTAATGTTAAATGACGAGTTAATGGGTGCAGCACACCAACATGGCACATGTATACATATGTAACAAACCTGCACTTTGTGCACATGTACCCTAAAACTTAAAGTATAATAATAAAAAAAAAGAAATCATAAAACACAGGTAAAATATGCCTATGGAGAAGATACTATAGGCAACGAGGGTAATTTTTTGAAAGCGAATGTTTTATGGTCTCCAGAAATTTCAGAAATGTAATTTTGATGTAATATAAAATAAAGCTGAAATGATAAAAAAAAGAAAATTATTATCATATAATCAATTACTATATTGGTGTACTGTAAGCTCAGTAGTGGGCCCTCTCCTATTTTCACCCCACACTCTGTTTCCCATAGAGATCTCAAATACTTCCACTGCTTACTATTCCCATGCCAGTGATGCCCACATTTCTTAGTTGCAGATTTGAGCATCTTTTCTTAGTTCTACATCTGAATGTTCAATTGCCTATATTGAGCATTTCTGCATTTCTGAGAGTCACTTCAAACTCAGTATATCCAAAACTCAGCTCTTCATCTTTTTCTTTAGATATTCTGCTACCTATTTTCCTTTCTCAAAGGCCCAAGTCCAAAACATGCCTGTTGTTCTTTAATTTTTCCTCTCCCTTTAATATCCACCACTAATTTTTATTGATTCAACATTGTGAGTGAATCTTAAAGTCGTCCTTTCATCTCCATTCTTATCTCAGTTTAGGTCGTATGACTTTTGTCTCTTCTAATTGTTTCATTTGCCTCCAATCTTGCCCTCTTCATAATTATTCTCCAAAAAGTAGCCAGAGTGATTGTTCTGAAACCCAAACTTGATAATGCTACTATATTACTTAAAACCTTTCAATGACTTTAATTGCTCTCAGAATGAAATCCAACTTCCTTAACACGACCTGCAGGGTGAGATTTTTCCTTAAGTCTACCTTTTTTTCAGCCCCCACCCCTGCCTTCACACATACTCCATAATCCTGCTATTGTTACTTCTGTCAGTTCTTTGAATATACCATGCTTCCCTTGACTTATTGGCATTTAAACACTCTTCACCATGTTTTATGCCACAATAACTCCTCATAATGCTTCATGTCTCAATTAGATGTCATATTTAGAGGGAATATTACTCTCATGTCCCAATATTAGATACTACCTGTTCAGGTAATAGTGTAGCATGACCCTGAAACTTAATTTTGTGTGTATGTTCTCAATTAAAACCTAAAGATAGCAGGACCCTTGATCATGTGCATTATCAATATGTTTTCAGAATCTAGCCTAGTGCCTGGCATACAAGAGCATACTTACTTAATGTTTTTCAAATGAATGATCTCTCAATGTTAATATAGCCAATAGAATTCTTATGTGATACTACTCTTTCTATGGCTTTACACAGGTTGTCTGATAATTCTTAAACATGGACTTTATTTATCAGATATATGTTTAAGAAATTTGTAGACGGTAGTCTTAGTAGAACAGCTTCTTTCTAATCTAATTTTCATCAAGTAAATGACTAGTCTAAAAGGAGGATGTAGCCACGAGGGATTCATGCCATGAAGCAGGTTGTTTGAGAATAATGGACAATAAAAACATACAAAAAAGCTTACTAAACCATCTCCAGTCAGACTAGAATGATAAATTATATAAGACAAATCAGTCTGTTTTATGGTGCTTTCTTATTCATCATTTAAATTTGTTATTTTTAAAAGTAATTAATTATTTTCATCAAATTATTATTATTATCATTATTATTATTATTGCAGATGAGGATTCCGCTGTGATGTCCAGGCTGGCCTCTAACACCTGGGTTCAAGTGATCCTTCTGCTTTAGCTGAAGCTGGGACTAAATGTGTATGCCACCATACCCATCAGTAAATTGTTATTTTTAAGAACTATAGGTTTAGACTCAGTTACACATTTTTGTACCTGTAATTAAGGTCATAGACATTTTATCACCAAAAGGTCAGAGTACAAACTAGTTCATTCAGATTTATCCAGCTTAGTGCCTGACACAAAATAAAATACTAAAGAAAAAGCTAGCTAAAATGCATTTCTCTTTTTGCTCATACCAATACTTTTTAAATTCTGCAAAAATATAATTTATTGTCATATTGGAAATGCTGAAGTTTACCATACATAGAAACGATTCTTTCATTGATCCAAAGGCTATTAAAATCCCAAGAGGTAACCTTTGAAAGCAAACTTTCAGACTCCGTGGTAGGCTCCCCACCATTTTAAAATAGCACCCAAACCTGTGTTTACTTTCAAATAGTGTTCTCAAACTTTTGGGTTTTAGGACCCCCTTTAACCCTTAAAATGTATTGAGCACTCCAAAAAGCTTTTGTTAATGTAGGTTATATCTAGCAATACTTATTTGTATTAGAAATCAAAACTAAAGGTTTTAAAAATACAAAATATCCAAGTACTCTTTTCGTTATCAGTCAGAGTGATGACATTATTACATGTTTTACGGGCTCTAGACCATTTCTCTGTACATCTGTGAGACAATGAAGGTGAAAGGGAAAATGACATTTTAGTATTATTAAAAGATCTTTGAACTCATGGATCCTCTGAAAGTATCTTAGGGATGCCTAGGACTTCCTAGATCACACTTTGAGAAATACTGCTTTAATATATTATCACCCATCACTCTCGCAAGCATTATAAACTTTTCTACATTTTCATAGCTTTATGAACATAATCTGTTATAAGAAACAGTAGTAATTATTTCCCAAAGTAAGCCCTGTGATATTAATAGATTTACTATGTAAACTTGGGTCTTCAGTCAGTTAGGTTGGAGAAAAATTCAATTAAGCAAAACTTAAATACCTTCTGCATTGCAGGCCTTTTGAGAACCTTTATTATGATAATTTGCATTAGGAATGTTCAAGTATGAAATATCATATTTAATGTTCTAGTAATTTGCTTTATTTGCCTAAAATTTTAGACAACATCTACTAGGAATAGTGACATAAAAGATAAAGGATAAATAATTTAAAATTTATAAAATGTTGCCATTTTATTTATTTTAAATATGGAGCCTCTCAGATTCATTATTTACCTACTTTAAGTATCACAATCCAGATATTACATACTTTTGTTTATTGGTTATGAGTTCATTTACATTTTGTGCATTAATCAGCTTTCCATTTTGAAATTTCTCCAGCAACTCATTTCAGAACCTTTCCTAATCCACGTATTTAAGTCTTCAATAATTTCGTTACTCTCTATACTTACCAACAATGTTGAAATGTTAGAGCTCTGTGGTTAAAGGCTACAATTGTTCTTTTCATCCATCATCCTTGAGTTTGCTTTTAATAATACTGTTACTTGGAGGTGGAGAAGCATTGAGCAGAGTCAAGTAAGATGCAGCTTTACAATAAGGGAGGCTTTTCTCTTCCCTCTCCGTTATACTCTATCTTGTGAACTTCTGTTCAGATAGGCAGATTGTGGCTATTAAATGAGATGTAGGAGAAATCTCATTCTCTGCCTTCTCTGGAGTACTATTCATCTTCAATACTTAGAAAAAATTATTTTAGCCAAGGGGAAATTATCAAATGAATGAAGCTTAAGGTAGAATCTTGGCAAACAACTCCAGCTATGTGTACCTTAAAGTTCTGCAGAATTTTAAATAGCTTCTGATTCAAATGAATTTGAGAAAATCTTGACTAAACAAAGCTAAATAGTTTCATTTGTTTTGAGACCTCTCAAATTTACTTGATTGTTTCTCTTTTTAGTTGCTGAGAGGAGGGTAGAATGTATAGAATGCCCAAATATAACATGGTGCAAATTTTTTTAATAGGAGTAGATCTCAAATGACAGTGCTGCAGAATATATTTTGGAAAAAGTTGTTCTAGATTTTAGTAAGTGTTTTACACTTGGTAAAACAGGGTAATTATGAGTTTTGTTTGTTGTTTGTTTTTAATTTGCTGTACTGTTAGAAATAGATTTTTAATTATTTCATTAAGGGCAGAAAGATGTTAAGAAAACTAATGCTTCGATTCGCCAATATTTAAGCATATTACATAAATAGGAAGAAAGAAAGTGTTCTAGGTTTTCAAGTAAAGTAACTGTAACACCACTTAATTAAAAAAAACACTCCACTTATACTTGGCCTCAGGCTAAAATCAGATTGAGGAATCAACATCTACGATTGGAAACCCAGCTAAAGTGTGGCCAGCTTTTATCATGAGTTGATTGTATACAGGCTGATTTCAAGTTGGTAAGGCAGGCTGGTCCTCTTTTACAGCATCTATAAACAGGGCCAGAATCTGGCTGACTAGAGCCTGAGAACATGTTAGGTCGCTTCATATTCAATTCACAGCCCTATAAAGAGAAGAAAAATGAGCCTTGTCCAAAACTCTTACCTCAGCACCCACTGGCAAAAATAAAATGTAAGCTGGGGACCAAGTCTCTTTGAAGCTGATTTTTTAAAAACTCTCTAACAGGCCTCTGGTGGTTACAGATATTGATCGTCAGAAAGTAATCTGTTCAGGTTTGGGGGCATGCCAGTACAAATTGTGGAATGCATTCCTTCCTCTCCAAGGACATGTTGAGCTTTTTACATTGTCCCTACTGGTTCACTTGTCAGCTGTCTACCCTATTTGACATGAATTATTTTCTATCTTTTGTGGATGTATAATTAAATATATTTTAAAAATAGGAAATTTTATTAACATAGAATCTTTAGCTTGAGTCAAAACATTCTTTTCATCTTTTTTAACCCTCATTTTTCTTCCATAATCATTATTTGATTCCCTCTGGCTGCCTGCTACTTATTTGTAGTAGTACCATTCATCCATTGAGACCTTTCCATCTGTCACACAGCTTTGCTTTCTTTCCCCAGAAGCTTTATTCTCCTACTGTGCCATGTTTACTTTTTTTTTCCTTTTTCTTTCTCTCTTTTTGTCTACTAGTTGGACTGAACACTCTTTTGTGCAGGTGTTTTCATCTTTTATTTTTGTTATTTTTTGATTTATACTTGGAAAATAATGCTGAATTAGATAAAAGTGACAGTCAGAAAGGGCATATTTGCTAATCTTTAAAAACAAATGTAATTTTTTAAAAATCCATATGTTTTTATTCTAATATATAAAAGGTAGAATTTCAGTAGATCCGGAACATTCTGATTGTTAAGTGAAGTAGTAGGAATTGCTTCAACCAGTATTTACATATGGTGTGAGAGTGATGCTGATATTTTACTCTCCATGTGTGTACTTTAATGTTTCTTAAGTGTTATTGCTGATTAAAGGTTTATTTACTGTGAATTTCAATGCTTAAAAATACTTAGACATAAAGACTAACATTTTTGGATATTACTTTCCCTCAGAGATTACCAACAAGTTGTATTAAAAGGTAGATATCTTCCGGCTAGAGAACGGATTCTAGGGATAGGAAAATAAATGCAAGCGTTCATGGTAAGATTAAGTGATTGGAAAGTCTCCATTTTGCTTAAATTATTGGTGAATTTTTCTTAACTATGTTATGGTAAAGTATTGAAAGACAGGATTCTTTCTTTATTGATAAACATGTTGAAAATGATAACCTAGATTATTGAATGTTTTCTAGAACAAACTCAAGGTGATAAAAATAAGGAGTTTTATATTAACAAATGCAAATGCATTTCTATTTTTGCATCCTCAGAAGAGTATTAACTTTTCTTTCTGTTGTTTCTGACCTAATACTTTGGATTTAAATATTGAATGATGTGCAATATGTCTTTTCAAAATAGTTAGCAATATTTTTTAATGAATTCCTCAGTGGCACAGTAAGTTTTCAAGCGTGTGTCATGGGCTGGAAGGCATTGCTTTAATTGAATATCCATGTTTTCTGATTATAATGGTTTGGAAATCAGAGCCAAATGAGAAGCATGTTATGCCCACTCAACTAAAAAATAATTGAGTCTCCTTTTCGAGGTTTACAGATAACCAAATCCACATGTATCAAACCTCTGTTGTGTACATGGTGCTGAACTCACATCAGTAAGGGAGTAGATGTTAAGGGATAGCTTCTCCTGTCAAGGGACTCAAAGTCTGTCTGAGGAAGAGAATACAGTACTGACTTCACTTAAAGCATTTGATTTGGCACAGAACATTAAGAATATGTTTGCTGAGGTCTGATAGTATGATAGATTATGCTCTGATCACAGTTGTTTAGGGCCAGGAAATAAAAAACTTCCTAAAGTATTTTAAAACAGTGTTTTAAGTAGATCAGGGACATATCATGGGATAGAAGAGAAGGATGATACTAGCAATCGGAAAATAGCAAGTAGAGATGTATGCAGGAGTTCAGAAGAGAAGTATGAAGACAGGACTTTTTTTGTATGTGTGGAGTCTGGAGTGGGAATAAGAAGTGCAACCAAAACATTAATAATTGTTCAGTCCCTGAACAACCAAAGATAATGAGTCAGAGTCTTTGACTATAAGAAACTAATAATCTAAGTAATAGATATGTCATATGTAAAAATAGTTATCTTATAGTCTAAAAGGCTATAAAACATATGCTGTTTTTTTTTTCTTGAGATATAATAACAAATCCTGTTACAACAATAAGCTTTGCATGGAGAATGAAATAAAAGCTCATGATGCAAAAAGTAGCTGCTTAAAGGCATTGTAGAGAAACCAAAAGAGTCAGGTCGTGAAAGGCTAAAGTCTTAATAAAAAGGAAAATAGGCCGGGTGCTGTGGCTCATGCCTGTAATCCCAGCACTTTGGGAGGCCAAGGCGGATGGATCACGAGGTTAGGAGATCGAGACCATCCTGGCCAACATGGTGAAACCCTGTCTCTACTAAAAATACAAAAATTAACTGGGCGTGGTGTCATACCCCTTTAGTCCCAGCCTCTCAGGAGGCTGAGGCCGGAGAATTCCTTGAACCCACGAGGCAGAGATTGCAGTGAGCCAGGATTGCGCCACTGCACTCTGGAGACAGAGTGAGACTCTGTAAAAAAAAAAAAAAAAAAAAAAAAAAAAGGAAAAGGAAAAGATATTGAGGTGAAATTGATATTCAGTAACACCTTCTGTTGAGGAATTTTCAGATTTCTAAACTTCATAAGGCAGAAAGCTTTGAAATCAAGGAGAATAAGCATTTTTAAAAATTGTTTTTTTTCTTGTCTGTAATTTTACAGTGCTGGGGAGACAAAAATAGGAGGTTAAGTCCTGAAAAGAAGGAGGGATCCCCTCAAAACTCTAGAACTTGAGAACCCAGAAGGGTAATGTTCTAGGAGAAAGGTTTCACAAATTTTGAAACCCAGTCTCAAATCATCTTGATTCCTAATAAGACAAAGATGATCTGTCCTACTCAAATGGCCCGCTTGAAGAAAATATTATAATGTCTTCCAGAGCTTTTAAGTCATCATACTCTGTATTTAAATTTCAATTTAGAAAAATTACCATGCATGCTAGGAGACAGGAACAAATTAACAAAATCCCAGAAAGAAAGAAATAACCGAAAGAAAGAGGTCCACAGATGATGAAATGCTAAAATTGAGATATTGAATTTTAAGGTATCTTTGAGTAATACTCTCAAGAAAAAAACTCTCTGGACTACTTCACACAAAATGGAATCAATAAATAGAATAACATCAATATTCTGGAGCTATAATAACTCAATAGAAGGTTTTTAACAGCATATATACATAGCTGAAAATAGAACTAATGAACTGGAAGATAGATCAGTAACAATTATTAAGACTCGTAGTCAGGTCTGAATTTATGCTCTTGCCTTAAATAACTGGAAAACCAGAAAAAATACATAAGACAACTGTTTTCAGAGATTAGAAAATGGGTACCGAATCATGATCCCTGAGAGACAGTGGTGAGTGGGGAGGCTGAGATTGCTGCAGTTTACAGTGCAAAGTATGAGAGAGTTAAAAGCTGTCAAGAAAGAACTTCAGAAATCAATATGGTCCTGTACAAACCTGTGCATGCATAAGGTAAAACTACATAAGCCTGATTAAAAAAAAAAAAAAAAAAAACAAATTCTAAGGACAAAAATTTGCTGAGAAATGTTAAGCCAAAATTGTTTTAGACCTCATAAAAGGATGTGAATTGTTAAAATTCCCATTAGCTAGCATAAAGTAACATTATTGAAATCATTGTGTTGAAATATGGTGGGCTGAGATCCACTCTAAAATATAAATAAATGAAGTTTTAAAATGATCAAACTAGGTCACACATAACTTAACTGCCTTTTAGAACAACATCTAAAATACTTAAAGAGAATAAAACAAAATCCAGCACTCAATAATATAAAACTTATGGTATGTGTTATCAAATTGCTAGACATGAGAAGAAGCAAGCGATCTGCACAATATTAAAGAACCAAAAAGAATGACTAGAAAGAAAAAATATAAAATCTGAACCAAAACTTTCAGGATGGCATTAACATATTAGAGACTGAAGGAAAACAAAAGTCAGTGAACTTAATGGCGCAGCAATAGAAAGTACCCAATAATAGACAAAACAAAGAATAGACAAAACAAAATCAATGAGGGCTCAGTAACTTGTGAGACATTATAAAGTAGTCTAACATAAGTGCAATTGGATTTCTAGAATGAAAGAGGAACAGAAAAATATTTGAAAAAGTAATTACTAAAAATATTTCAAATTTGATTTAAGAAGATATAAATCCACATATTAAAACATGCAACAAACTTCAAGCAAGGTAAGTCTAATGAAAACCATGCCAATGAATGTCATCATCAAACTGCTGACAATCTGTGATGAAGCAACCAAAGAAAGATTATAGAAAAACAGTAAGAATTGTTATAAACTTAAAGAAGCCAAAAACCGTGGAATGATATATTAAAAATGCGAGGAGAAAAAAAAAACAAACTATCAACTTGTATGCCTATTAAAAGTGTCTTTCAAAAGCAAAAGAATATTTTTTTCAGGCAAGTGAAAGATGAGAGAATTCATCACCAGCAGACCTGCACTACACAACATGCAAAAGGACGTTTTTCAGGCAGAAAATGACAGACAACTAGAAAGTTGAATCTATAGAAAGCAATGAAGAGCCCTGGGAATAGTAAATAAATAAGTAATGAAATAGTCTTTTTTCTCATTTAAAATGTTTAAAAATATAATGGAGTTTTCAAAAGAAAAAAGTAATGACAGTGTATTGGGTGCAAAAATGCATGCTAACAGTAGACAAATGAAAAGAGTAGAAATGGAAATATACACTTGTAAGAGTTTTAAGTTATTTAAAAAGTTGTAAAATATTGAAAGGAACACTCTGAAGTATGCATATTTTCAACCCTAGGGCAACCACTTTTCAAAAGAGGTATAGCTAATTTTCCAATAGTATAGACAAAATACTTTGCAAAATATTTTGCAAATAGTATAGACAAAATGAGATGATAAAACATAGTCAAACAAAAGTAACAAAAGAAATAGGGAATAAAAACAGATGTAACAAATAGAAAATAAAAAGCAAGATGTTACATTAAACCCAATCATATTGGTTTTCATATTAAATGTAAATGGCTAAACAACCCAAATGGAATGGATGGAGAGTTTGAATACATCTTTCTGATCATGTATAACAATAGTTCCAACACATTCCAGAGAAAATTCTGTAGGCTGAATTGAAGCATAGGCCATTTGTAAAAACTGAAGGGATCTGACTATCCCAAGTAGGATTTGGTTTCAGATTTGAAGTCCTGTCTGTGAATTATGCACAACATGTCAATGCAGTTTGTTGACTAGGTGACTTGTTCTTCCTATTATAACAGATTCACCTGCCTGTCTAGATAGGAGAATGGCTGACACAGAGAGGGCACTTAGTAAAGATTTGTTAAATAATTGAACAAATCTGGAAGAAGAATCATGCAATATGTCTTCTTGGGAAGGAAACAGAATGCTTTGAGGACATAAGTGGTGTTTTCATCTCTTCTTTCAGTATAAGACCTTGATTTGGGGTAGATAAGGATAATATACTAGTTTTCAAGAAAGAAAAAACTATAATTATTATTTTTGTGCTCTGTGGCTGACAGTTGCAGATGATTTGCCACCTGATAGGTGACAGAGTTCTGAGACATCAGGAAGAGTATATTTTGAAGTAGATTCAATAAGAATATAAAGTAACATTTGAAAAAGAATAATAATTTCAATCAAAATTGAAAGAAACTGGATACTACTCAGTTTAATAAAAGCAACATACATAGAATAATGAAGTCATGGAAGCAAGAATAAACTAGTTGTATGGTAAACTAGTAAAAACTATAAAACTGTGTCAAGAAAGTACCTAATATGGCCACGTACAGTGGTGCATGCCTGTAATCCAAGTGATTTGGGAGGCAGAGGTGGGAGGATTTCTTGAGCCCAGGAGTTTGAGACCAGCCCGGGCAACATAGAGACACCTCATCTTTACAAAAAATTAAAAAAAAAAAAGAAAGTACCCAGTAATTCTAAGGAGAAAACAATACACATAAGTTACATATATACAAATGCACATACACACATATGTAATAATTAACCGTATTTTAAAAATAAATGTAAAATGCTAAAGAAAAAGCAATAACAGTCTTGGTATCGCTGAAATTGATCAGATTATTTAATGATTAAGTAGATCACTGAAACTTGTTTACAAAAAAATCTAATTTGTAGTTTTTCATGGTGAGAGAGTATGCTTGTCTATGTGTGTGTGAATCCACAGGTCTAAATGAAGGAAGTAAGTAGAAATTATTTGAGAGAGAAACAGAAGTGAAGCAGTTATCGGCATTTAATTTGACAGCCTGATCAGAAGGAAAGTGTGCTTTAAATTTTCCTATTATCAATAATAAGACTGGTCCAAAGGCAGAGGCAGTGATGAAGAACAGCACTATTTGTTATATACCAGTAGTCTAAAATACATTTGATGTGTTTTCACTCTCATAATTTCTCATAAAGGTAAGGAAGCAGTGTGATAAATTCTACTGTTTTGTACAAGAACTTGTACATAAAGTAGAAGTGATGTTAACCTTTTGAGAAAATAATATTTTTATGTTAGAATTTTAAATAGTTACATAAATGCATAGCCAAATATGATCACCATATAATTTCAGTCAGTAGATTTCAGAGTTCAGAGAAATATGGGTATAATTCCATGTTCAGGGACTCTTAAGATGAATATAGTTAGAAAATGATGGAGGGTTAAAAAAGGAATTTTGATTTATAATTTTAAAAAGCTGTAGTGAGAAAGGCAAGAGATGTGGCATGCTACTAGTGTGCAGCTCCATGTGTTACCCACACCTGGAAAGCATATCGACACAAGAGGTGGTATAAGGAGTTTAGAACCAAGAATGAGTTCAAATACATAACATATTTCTGAAAGCAATGCCAAAACTAGTACAAAAAATTATAATCTTCATAGAAAACTCATTTTAAAAAAGAGCCCTGGGGAGCAAAATTTAGGGCAAGTTAGGGCAAGAAGAGGAATAGGACCACTGCCTTTGGTAAAATGTTTTATGAACAACAACAAAAAATTTTCTCAATTCCTGTGTTGCTTTGCTGTGCTCATTTAAGGAACAATTTATTTCTACAAAATAAATTACAGTTCATATATAAACTATAATTAATTAAGAACTAATTAAAGATGACTATTTCTATGGGGAGAGGGCTAGAAATCATGAAGAATGATAGAATTGAGTATGCTTAAATTAGAAAAGGTGAAATTTAAGGATACCATTATAGTTGTTTTCAATATTTTGAAGATCAGGCATGCAAAGATGTATTCTGTTCATAGTAAGCAATATAATATAGTAGACTGCCAAGTAGGCAGTCTCTGATTGTATAAAGGGCAGTGATTTATCAGTTGGAAAGGATTTTCAACTAAGCAAGTAAGGTCTTCTTCAGCAGAAGTCTTTCAGCAGACTCTTCAAAAGGCAGAAATGGATTTATTCCATGGAAGACAAGATGCCTGTTAAGATCTCTTTCATTTCTCCTGCTAGAGGATATTGTGAGGTTAGATGATATCACAGTGACAAGTCAGTGTGGGAAACAGAACTAAAGATAATGGTTTAATTAACTAGACTCAAAGGTCAAACACCTGAAACTGAATGAGGGTCTGGGTAACCAATTCTATACTGCAATTTTCTGAAGTGAGTAGCAGAAAGACAGAAACAAGGGAAAGACCAGCAGTGAGCAGAAGTCCAGGTGACTTCAAGAACTCTTGTTGAATTGAGACATTCAAGACATTCCTGACATTCAAGACATTCCTGTCTTCCTTCATAGGGTGGAAGAAGCATTAATGTTAATGCTTTTTTGGAAGGAAGTATGAAATGGACTGAAATATTTTACTTGGTCTAGAGACTGAGGCAAGAATTGGAGACTTACCTTTTGACATTCTCCAAGACAGATTCAATGAAAGTTACAATAAAATCAATAAACTTAGAGCTAATCAAATAAATATAACATACAACTTTTGCAAGTCATGTATGCTATAGTAGTGCCTAAAGAACCCAGTTTTATCATACGTATTCTAGTAGCTAACATTTATTGAGTTCTTGTGTATATTTTGTGTGTATTAAACTATTTACATGTGTGTATTAAACTATTTACAAACATAAGATACTCTCATAATTTTATCTTTTATTAACTCCATGAAATAGAAACAATTACCATCATAATTTTACAAATAAGGAAACTTCAACTTAAAGAGATCAAGTAATTTATCTAAGAGCAGTGCCCCAGAGTATTATAAACAGGATTTATGTCTCAGTTTGTCTGATACCACAGAGCCTTCATCTTTAACCTGTAGGTGATAATGGTGTTGTATTACTGATCTGGTTGGAAATCAAACAACTCTGAATTGCAGCTCTGGGAAACAAAGAAATGGAAACCTACTCAAGACGGCCTGTGTGCCTTTTAGGAGGTTGGCAGTCAAATGTGGCACCAAACTCTGGATCCAATCAAATGTTTGGTACTGTCCAACCTTCCATATGGTTGGGAGGTCTGGATCTGTCACAGATGTCGCAGGCAGCTTCCCGCATCACCTGCAAGACATATGTGACATAAATGGGAAAGCAGGATTACTAAAAGTGTGCCCCCAGCTGGGCCTATAACTGAAGCGAAGATCAGCACAGCAGCAAGCATGGGAACTGGGCAAACCTGGGGGATGGTTCACTTTAAGGCCCTGAGTCAGCTGCTCAACAGTGAGCCGAAATGGGGGCATTGTGAGTAGGAGTAGGCAGGGCTGGCAAAAGAAAGGCTCCAAGGACACATTGAATCACAACTTCTAACAATGTGGCATGGCTGTGCAAACAACATCAGACAGGCCAAACTTACATGCAAAAAATCAAAGACTGAGTGACTCTTTTTGGGCAAATGTGTCTGGCAGCCTACAAGGAGGAAAGGCAGGGCTGCAAGTACAATATGCTCTACAGACAGAGGAGAGAGTCCCAGCCCAAAGACAGCTTCCATGTGTATGAAGTGTGGAAAATCTGAGACATGCACTGGGCTCTTCAGCCACATTCTCACCCTTGGAAAGCAATCAGCCAGCAGAAAAATCTCCAATTTAAATGACAGCAAAATGTATGCTTGGAGTTATCTGACCAAATTAGCAACTGAGATATTCTAGGGACTTAATTTGCACATTGAGTTTTAATAGTATTATATTTGTATAGCAGATTATATAACCAAAAATGTTAATGGGAAAATGATTTTATTTGACTGGGAAATTGGCACCCCGACTAATTGTCTGAAAAGAAGCCAATTTTAAAATTCAGATGCTATTTGAATGAACTGGTATTGGCTGAATTAGGATTTATTGTGTAAAATATGCAGTTTTTAAAAATAGTCTAAGGAAAGAAAAAAGGACTCAATGAACGAAGTTTGCATACTTCACTATGTTCTGGGATAGGTTTTGCAACGGTACAAACAAGATGATCATAAAGAATATTGGGGTTGGAGTAGGGGTGGAGGAAGATGAAAAAGTGACCTGAAATGAACATACGTTATGAATGTGTATGTGGTCAGAGTAAATAGGATGGCTTGTCATCTGTCTATAATTTAGCCAGATAGCAACTCTTTACTAAAATATTTGATTACCTTTTTATAAATAACTTGGAGTTTCATGTGCCTATTTCATATAGATTAGGATAAAGTGCCATACATATTTAGGAATGACCATGTTTTTGGTATGCTATTTGTAGCACTTAACACATTAAGAAAATTGTAAGCTTGCAATTAACTCTGGCAATAATTTTTTTTATGAAATGTATTAGCTGCAACTGGCTAAGACTAAATAAGAAATTAGATTGTGTGACAATCATAGGAGAAAGCTTTGCGAGTAATACACTTTATTCTGTTGAAAAGTCTTTTTTCTTAGTCAATTGAAATGGCCTTATTGTTCTGGCTACCACCTCCTCCTCCTGAAGAAGCTTAGATCTTCTAAATAACAGGTGAAAATGCACTTTTCATTTATTACTTGCCTTCAGGATGTGGAAAGCACAAGGTTTCCTTAGAAAACCAGGCCTTTTCCTCTCCACCCCACCCCCTACCAGCCCTACACTTTAAGACAACATCTTCAAGTTGCCATAGACCAACTGTGAGTGTTAAATGAATATCTTTGACAGGAGCTAAGTCTTTTGGGCATTGAAATAAGGTTTTCCTCCTCTCTTGGCATGTGAAGATTGAGAGTGTGCTTTGACACCAGTAGCAGAGGATGTGAGCAAAGCAACCTTCAGAGCATCAGAAGTGTCAGCAAAAGGAAAAATCAGCACAAGTAGAAAGCATCAAGGTAATTTCCCCACCTGTAGTATTCCATGAAGTCAGTCAGCTCATCGCCACTTTTGTCTGACGGAACCTCCCTCTCTATTGTTAAATGCCACATAAACTATCTGTCAGCCTCTAGGGCAGTTCACTTCTCTTACACAGAAAGAAACACAAAGGTACAAACAAAAGCAGCAACATATTGAGCTAAAATAAAAGTTAAAAAATAGTATTTCATACTTCATTCATAAGTATATATATTGGGCAAATTTCCCTGGAATATCATATAGCCAGAATACCTACTATGTTTGATTCCATTTCTTCAAGAGTTGAAACAATCTATTCCTGTGTGGAGAAGGGTTTTCTCCTATTTATCTGGTGCTTTTATTTTAGATTTGGAACCAAAAACTATGATTATATTTCTGCATTGTGAATGTATTAAATATTTCATTGTTGATGCTAAAGTTTCTTAAACATATTAATATATAAGTATACCTATCATAAGTTGAAAGCTGCTGAATTTTTTCAAATAGTACACATCCATGTATCTAGTACCTAGATTAAGGAACAGAAAATTCCTCGTGCTAAGTTTTTCAATAGTTGCATTTTCCAAATGCTTTCATTTCTGTGGCTTTTCCATTTTTGGAAAAAAAAAATGTTACCACATTAGAGTGGCAACACCTGCATTCAAACATCTATTTCCTCAATATATTCCCTAATAGCATCATCAAATAATTTTCATTAATGTTTAATTCATTGCACATAGCAACCTGTATAACTATAGGAAAGGACATAAATTAGCATTACACAGTATGAACATTTGCTACATGGCAAAACTGTTCCTTTTGGCAAACATTTTGCATTTTTAAAGCCACAAGCACCCTGCTGAACAGAACTCCAAACAGAGGAGTAGCAAAATGGGAGGAAGGTGCTGTGACTAAATGAAGGAAGGCTGAGGGGTTAAAATCATTGCTGGGTGATTTCACCACTACTGCCCCATATTCATACTCTCGGTAAATGAATGAGGAGAGCCCCATGTGGGATTACAAACTTGCTGGAAATGGATGAGAAACCTTCTGCTCTGCTGGAGTTTGTAAGTAGTTTCTAAGGGCTGATTTCTGCACAAGTGAAATTGATTGGATTGTTTTATTTTTCTTCTGGCAAGAAATGTTTTTCATCTCTGCATATTCCTCTCCCTGTTTTCTTGGGTTGGCTTGACGACAAAACCTTCTGCAAGACCCAGAAACAAGTCATCTCTTCTGTGAAGCCTTCTTGATTACACTGCCTCGGTCCTTGCCCCTTCGTGGATTATGTGGCATTATCCTCCCTAATAACTTGTACAATACCTTAAAGCTTCTCATAGTAAACTCTCTCAGTCTCTGCTACTCACTCATTCCCTAGGTTGTGAGCTTCTAGAGGACACAACTTGTGTCTTTTCAACTTTGTGTGTCACCGTCCTGGTTGCTTTACTTCTAATTCCACTGCTTCTAACCTAGATGTAAATAGAAACTCAGTTCCAGGTATGAACGGCCATAGGCAGATGACTTACTTGTGAGGGTTAGACCACCATAGGCCATCATCATCTGGAGTTCCCTCCTGTTAGCAAAGTTGTTTCTTCAGGCTGATCTACTAATTGTTTACCCACAACCCACTTCTGAGCTGGGGATGAGTGACCACCTGCCTAGATTTTCTTGTTAAGCATCATAATGAAAGAAAAGAGACAGCGTTTGCTATTAAAGTATTTTCTTAAAAAATGGTATTCTAGAAAAAATAATTGTCTTTCTCTTGCAAGGAAAGAGGAAAATAAAAGCCCATGCACCATAATCAACAAACATTTAATTGACCAACACTTCCTTTTCACTTACTTCCCTTTTTAAAAATAAGAAGTAGGTAACAAGGATAACACAAACAGTAATCTCTTCTAACCCTGTTAATGTTGATGAAATAAAAGGAAAAGAAAGGAAATAGCTGAAATCTGTTGTCCTTCCTTGGAGTTTGGGGTGGCCTCCATCTTTTTCTCCCCTTTCTTGAAGTCAGTCAGAGGTGCTTTTGCCTTTCTTTCTACAGCCTACCTTTTAAAGCCTTATTTTCTAGAGAATGGACATACACGTGTGATAATCATGGTATTTCCTCTGAATGGTGTATTACAATTTGATTAGTAAATCATATATATATATATATATTTTTTTTTTTTTTTTACTGCTTGGAGATACTGTAAAAAAAATTCAATGCAATTGGAATATATTCAAATGAATATATATTGAGGCATTGAAAGCACTGAGTTATCAATACTAGAAGTGTTATACACAAGTCAGACTGCCTAGGTTTAATTCGGGCTTCTGGTTAAAATGCAATTGCTTTTGGGCAAGTTATTTAACCTTTCATCTGAATAATTGGGATAATAAAATACATCTCTTAAGTTGTGAGAATTAGATATGTCAGTATATTTAAAGCTCTTATAACAGTGTATAGAACATGATAAATGTTCCATAAATATTCCCTATTATGTAATAATAACTATTTTATTATGTATGATATGCTAGTACTACTACTAAATAATTAAATCAAAAAGGACAAGAGATATCAAAATGAAACATTTGAGTGTAGTGTGTAAAAATGGATATGCCTGTTAACAGCTAGGTCTTTCATGTTCTTGAATCATTTTAAGCAAAAAAGATTTTCTTTATTCAATAATCATAAATAGCGACTCTCAGGGAGAACAGAATTCCTATATTGTTCTTTGTTACTCTCCTTTCATATAGCAGCTATATTTAATAGCTACTCTGTTATTAAGTGTATTTTAAACAGCTATTATGTAAGTGACCTATATGAAAGAGTTTTATTCAACCAAATTTTGTGCCCTTTAGTAAAATATTTTTATATAATAATTAATAAAAGTTCTATTTGTTGATAACTTTTAGAAATAGGCTTTGTAACACAGTGAAAATATGCTAACATAATCAAGATCATGTCTCTTAAAAAAAAAACCCAAAAACTTAAATAAGGTTTAAGATCCTTGTTCTCAGAATTGGGGAGCTTAAAAATAATTTTGGCAACATTTGTGGTATGGTGGATTTGGCTACCATGTTTTCCCCATTTTATTGCCTGAAATGCCTTTCCTCAAAGTTTTCAGATTTGGTGATTTGCTTTCTGAATAGAAATATGAGGATCTTCCATCAAAAAGATTCAGTGCAATTCTTTTATCAGAGTGTGAGTTGCTAGCTACAAGAAACAGATGCCTTTTTTTTTGCATTGCACCATTTACAAAATGTACTCATACCAAACAATAAAAAAAAAATCCCTCAGATAAGCCTCAGATAAACCGTATAGAAAGATGAATAACACAGAGATTATAAGTTGGTTTAGAATGCAAAGATATATAACGAATATCAAAGAAGCATCAATTCCTGGTATGGAAATAATGGCATTAAGCAAACTTACTCCTTTTCCTTTCAGTAGGTTAAAAATGGACACATTGTAATTAAAATTATTTGAAATGGAAAACGAACTTAAATCTTCTGTCCTAAAAGTTGACTATGAGTTTTTCTATGAATACTAGTTTTCACCGTCTCGAAAACTTTCACATTAAGAGCATTTGAAAGCAAATAAACAGTAATTATTATTGACCTTTTTATAATGGTCAGAATCTGGAAGTAATAAACTCTGTTTAAATCTTTATAGGAACTGAAGTAACTAAGGAGTTTCATCCTAATTAGGATGTTTTCGTTGTGTAGTTATATATGTTGATTCTGAAAACATTGATCTTGCCGAAAGAAAGGAAAAGAATGGTAGAGATGCAGGCAGACTGAAGCAACAGAGCAACACATTTCCATAACTAATAATCTTTCATAGATATATTGGTTCTGATAGGAGTCCAGATAGACGCCTGAAAAGATTGAATCAAATTGGGCCAGTTTAAAGTGGGGAGTGGGTATCACTGCAAGTTGGACTAGATCATTATGGTTGATGACAAGTTACTGTTATTTTGACTGAGAATATCATTATGTAATATATTACTTAAATTGTTGAGCCTTTTATTTAACTTTCATCAGTTGCAAACTTGGGGGGTAGTTATGCTTGCTTTTGGTCATTGCTAAAACTCTTACTGTTTCTCTGGGAACCACATTCTCTGTGCTTTTTCGCCTTCCCTGTTCTGCCTCCCCTTTTCTTGAAGTGTTTCTTTTGTTTGTCTCCATTACACCAGCACGCAGGGACACAGTGTTTCTGCACAGTGGGAGTTGGCAATCTCCGAAGAGCCTTTCCAGCATTGCTTTTTAGAATGAAATCATTACAATCTTCAATAGCTACTTGGATTTAAAAAAAAGGAAAGAAAGAAACTAGCACATTATTATTCTCAAAACCATCTCAATGTAAAAAGAGGCTATTTGCTTGGTCCTCCTCAACTCCCCCCTTCCCCCATCCTCCTGCAATCCTTGCTCATCTTGCTCCTTTTCTCTCTGGATGTGTTTCCTTCACACCTAAGTTTCGTTTGCATGGTCCTGATTCACTAACTCTATTCAAACCGAGTACACAAATACATTTTTTTCTGTTGGTTTTGAATATTTTTACACTGCTTATGCAAAGGAGTATAGTCAGATGTATCTTGCATTCGTTGATACTTGAATTATTACCTTCGAGAATGTGAAATATCCTGGTACTGACCCATGGTAATTTTTCAAACCCAGGAGTTATTAGCATATGTCTAGTTGATGGGAAAGTTGTTTTAGTAATGCCTGCAACTAATTTTTAAGCAGGTGAGAATTCTTGTTTATCGTTACTCATGTATCAAACACTCCTACCCTGTGCTTTTCTCCAGGTCCTGAGTGCTTGCTTTTCATCAGTAGTAACATTTGTTTTATACACATGCCCAGGAGTGACCCTAGGTGCACAGTGGAAACTCAGGGCATGAGGAGCTGTTTGCAATGCCTTCACCCTCTGAAAGGGATTAGTGTATGCCAACACGTAATATTTCCAACAGAGGTTTGTATGGTGTCGTCATACGATTTATTTGTTCTCTTCGCTGAGCATAACTATAAATAATGAAAGGGAATGGCATGAAAACAAAGGAGAGTAATTTATGTACTTTATCAAACAAGCACAACCAATTTATATCCTATATGCTATCCAGATGTATGTATATTCAAATAAAATCAAAATAATATGTTTTCATTGTTAACTAAATGTAAAAAATGCACTAAAAAGAAACTATAACCAACATGTAATACTTTGTTATTGATGTTTCAGATTTTTATATCTTTTAAAATAAGTGCTCCATGAAATAGGATAGAGTATATGTGGTCTTACTTGAAGCTACAGTGTTCCCTGGACATGCCATAGAGTTTTCCCAGAAGATGTCAGTAAAGCTACTCCATCCTTCCATCTCTAGTCATTGAGCTTCAAACAAAATAACCAGTAAAGAGTTAGTAGTTTTTTTGTTTTTGCTCACATTGTTTCTTATCTCTAACATACTTTGATCTTTTCATCAGATTAGAAATAATTGGTGAAATTTATATGCTCTAAAGTCAAGTAAATTATTAGAATTTAATCCTATTTCTTAGATTCATATAGTTTTATCTGATAGGAACAAACACAAGTTTACCTAAAACCAGGCTCTTAGACTATATCTCACCAACATTTTTCTTTTCAAAATTCTGTCTATAATTCTAGGAATAGTTAAATGACATTTTTAGCTTTTTTGTGTTGTCTTGGGCATATTTCTGCCTTGTTTTGCAATCCTATGGCCCAGTGTTTGTCCATTTTTCATGGAGCAAACTAAGTTTCCTCTTGCATTATAAGCATTTGTGTAGCACCTCCTCTCTCCTATTAGTTCTAAATTAACACGATGTGTCCTTTTTTATTTCAAGCTCCTCCAAACTCCTTCCTTAGTACTTTGCACACTGATACTTGTTGAATATGTAACTGAGAAATAGAAAATAACTATGATTTAGTATCTCTTCTGTGTGGCACTTAACTTCCTATGTGTGTATATCTATTAGAAAAAAAAAGCAATCATGGTATTTATAATAAAAGACTGATATGGGCATAAATCAGTATTTATTATTTTCAGGTCCATAAAGACATATATTTACATTAATATGGAAGCATTACAGGTAAAGTTATATTATTAAAATAAAAAATCATGAAAAATATAGTCATAGATTGCCTTTCTCATGTCCTGCCAATAGGACTATAATGTAAAATAGAGTGAATAGTTCAACTTTAATATCATATCTGCAAATTACAGCTTTTCCAAATGTACCAGTTGCTCAAAAGGTTATGAATGATGTCATTTGCACCCATATAGGGAAAGGCTCTTGCCTGACTTTTCAGATCTATTTACAGAGATCCAAAATGTTCTGCCTATTTGTTTATCTAAAATATGTTCCTTCATGAATGCCAGAAAGGAATTGCTACTATAATCCCAGGTATCAATTTGCTTCCTGTAGGATATTGCCTTATGATCCCTGCTAGGTCTCCTTTTATTTTTTTATAATCCCAAACCCTAGAGGCATCATTTCAGCCTAAGTCAGTGATTTAGAGGCTCTCATGCTTTTATTTATAAATGTGTATGCCATAAAAGTTACATAGTCCAGAATATAATGAAAACTGGTAGCAAAATTTTGCTTTGAAAATCACAAGCATGTCCTAGTAAATACAGCTTCTGCCCAGCTGCATATTTTCTTGATACTAGAGTACCTGACTGATTGTACATGTTTGCACTAGGTTCACATCCATGTTAGCATGTGGGAATCTAATTTTTATGGGTCATATAATACATTCAGCATATTGGTTAATGAGCTTCCAACCATCTCAGTCATTCTTTTTGGGCAAATTGCAGGCCAAATATAAGAACTGAAATGGCTGCCTAAGGGCTAGGCATATAGTATATGCCATGACTTTTCTCTTCTTGGGTCATTTAGGAGAAAAGTAGTAAGCTGTGAGGAAGAATGCAATTAACTAACTTTTGTTAAGGGCCCAGATCATTACTAGGTGCTTTCCATGTATTATCTCATTTCTATGTCCAGGTAAATTCATGTAGCAGCTAATAGGAGCCAAATCAAAAATTGAATGCTGGTCTGCCTGACTCATTTGCCTGATTAGGAGAGTTAATCCTGAAGTCGCTTTGGTCAGTAGCATCCAGGAGATGGAGAAAGGGCTTTGACTATTTAGAGTTAGAATCTACTCTGCAGTTACTATTTGATTTGCAAATGAGCAAATGGAAACCGCCCAAGAAACAAAAGGAGAGTTTCATGGAGGGAGGGAAAGAAGGAAGGAAGGAAGAAAGAAAAGAAGGAGAAAGGAAGAAACAAAGAAAAGAGGAAAGGAAAAGGAGGAAAAGGGAAGGGGGAAGGTAAAGAATCACAATAAATTATTTAAAATGTACTTTTTGGTTAAAGATAGGTTAAATAAGACCTACTGTTTTTGATTTAAATATATTAATTTCAATTGAAGTACTCATGCTGACATAATAAAAGTCTTTTAAGGTAATGAGTCATTATTTTAAAGGTCACCAATTAAATTCCTTCTCCTGAATAATTTTCCACCTGCCATTCTGCAGGTGGACAGCCCCACATGCATAGCATCATCTACTTGCTCTGTAGTCTTTGATGGTGCCAGGCATTTAGGTGGAAACAAACATACTTTCAAGACCCAAGATCTGTGGCTAAACCTTGTCACTCAGAGATATTTAGATATGTTTGGCATTCAAAGTAAGTTTTCTTTTTCTCAGTTTTCATCTGATTCTAGGATAAGTCCCAGAAAAATTGGCAGCAGATGATGAAAATAAACTGTTTTCTATCCTATGTTGGGGGTCTGAATTTTGCATTTTATTCACATATATGCTTTTAGGGCAATTTTTGTTTTTTACTATTTACTGTACTTCATTCTCCTATACTGATTTTGCTACACTGATAAGCAGGACCCAGAGCTGAACCTGGCAGGGCAGTGATCCCAGAAGTCTTGAAGAGTGAGGGGCCAAGCCAGAACATGCCTACCGGCCTCAGTGAGTAGAACCCAGCTGGTGCAGATGGAGAGAAAAGAGCTCTGGAAGGAGAACTTCAATCAAAAAGCCAGCTTAGTTCTTAAGTTAAAAGTAATCCTGGGTTTTGTGGGTCCTGAAGCTTATAAAATATGGGAGGGGTAGTCTTGTTTGGGAGAAACAAACAAACAAACATAAAAATTGTAACATTTTCAACATAACTATAAAGAAAGACTTTGTGGGCAAATTGCTAGGTCCCACTCAGGGCCATGGAAGGGGTCTGTGCAAAGGAGGGCCCCTGAAGCTTAAGCTTTTCCTAAAGTTGCCTTTGAATGAAGGCCAGTCTCTAGAGATTAGGCATAGGATGCATCTAGCTGTAATAGCCAAAGGACCTGAGACCAGAAGTCAGAAGAAGAAGGTTCAAGCAGAGACTGGAAGGGGCAGATTGTGGAAAGATAAGATGCTAAGTTAGAGAAGACCATAACAATGTCTATAGTTTACCCCTAGTCTTCTGTGGTGGGGGAGGTCGCTATTTAGGATGTCATTCTGTGTGAGACAACAAGCATGATCATGACCCTGAAAATAAATGTTTCAACCAAGTACACATGGACATAAAAATAGGAAGAGGAGATGCTTGGGACTACTAGAGGGGTTAGGCAGGGCAGGGGATGTGGCTGAAAAACTACCTTGAAATTATGAAAAATAAAAATAAAAAATAACAAACAAACAAAAAACTTAGCATTAACCAACAATGGAAAATCATGGTTTGAATGAGTACTTTATGACTGACCTTTTTCACTCAAAGCATATCTGAACTCTGAGGTTTGGATAAAACAAAGAAATAAAGTTTTCATTATTTCCCCATAGGAGCTTCAAATATGTAGCAACACTGAGTGGAAAAAAAAATGTACTAGTAGTTTTCTAACAGCTTGTACCTTACCTAATATTAACCCGCTGGGCATATGGGAACTGTAAGGAATCTGGACGCAATAGTAAGCTTTGGTTGAAAAAAATGCACCGATCAATAGCTTGCATTACTGTAAAAATCCTTCTGGGCTTAAAATTTTATTTTCTTGTATTATGATAGAAACCCTGAAGAGCAAGAATGAGGGCTAATCAAAGAAATAGTAGAAAACAGCATATATGTCCCAATACATGATGGTCTTTATCAAGAGCATTATGGTTTCCACACGGAAAGCTATATAGTAGTGGAATTTTTTTTTTTTTGTCTTAAGTCTCCATGGTGCTATTTCAGGGTGCTTTTTACAAAGATTTTCTAGCAACCAAGTAAGCTCAACAACATATCTTAAAATAGAAAAATAATTATTCCCATAGTTGTGTATATATGTACACACACATACCTATGTGTATGGTACTATTTGTTTCTCTTTTAATGTTCTACTTGAACACTTAGGAATTAATCATTTGATTTTTTCCTGGAATATAACTTTTACTTGTATTCTTTATGTCATTGGCTGGTGTTGTATATGTATCTACGAAAATTATTTTTATCATAAAATGGATATATCACTGGATAAACATAAAATATAAGGAAACTAATTACATAGAGCCACACTGTAGCTGTTTGGTTTTAGAATAGTTTGGTATGTGAAATATGTAAACATATGATTAATATTATGCATTTGCAGCCTGTTTCATTGAAGAATGCAATTTATTTGCTTCTTTTTATTTCTCTTCTCCAGGAGAAGGAAGTTGATAGGAGTTGACTGGAGTCTTAGAGAATAGTAGAATTAAGGAAGTTAAATCAGGGTATAGGGAAGAGAATGGTACATGAGGCTTAACTCATGAAGGGGAGGGAAAAAGTAGCTGTAGAATGCAAGTCCAGAATTAGATGTGCACAAGGAACTCACAGATTCAAGGGTCTCTGCATGTGAGGAGGCAGATCTCATTAGGAGAAACTCCTCCCCCCTGAGAGATCATACCTCTCATTTTTCTTCCTTAGTCAACCTGTGGCAATGATTGCAGTTAAAGCAATAATTCAAAAATGCAGACCTAAAACCTAACCCATCTATTTCCCTTTTAAACCCCTTTGTTGACTCCTTTTGATCTATGGTACATTTTGAACCTCTTAGAATGGCCTTACCTGGCACTTGTATCCAGTCTCCAGACTCAGGTCCCACTAATATGTCTCATGCCTTATATTCTGGCATAAAAATCTGGTTGTTGTTTCCTGACCATCCTGCATACCTGTCTTGGGGATCTTCTCTCTGACTAGATGCTTTCTTCACCTTTTCCTGGCCAAATTAAACTCATAAGATTCAGCTAGAACATCACCTATTCCAGGGAATCCTTTCCTGAAAACCTCCAGGCCTAACAGCATATGTAAATCACTATATTCCCAGAACACTTGAAAGGATGTCAAAATTAGATTACATTGTATATTTATTATTATTCTCTTGAAGACAGAGACCATATTAAACTTCCCTATAAGATTCTGACCAGTTCTATTGTTTGTGTACTAATAGTTTTAACTGGGAAGGGTGGCAAATAAATTGTGGAGTGCGTTGAACTTCATACAGGCAAAAATTTAGGAACATACAAGTATCTCAATTGAAAGGATTATTTTTATATAAGATAATTTTATTTATATTCAGAAAGATGCTTGTGTTTACTTGTTTGGGGACTTTCTATACCAGGCAAGCCCTTTTACATGTGTGAAGTGAGACTGCAGGTGAAGCCATCTGGCAGATCACATATTCGGTGTTCCTAGTAGCATGGATAAAAGACCTTTAAATAAAATTTCAAATCTATCTAAATTAGGACTGGATGCATGATTCTGAATGTAATTGATTTGGCAATATATGCCACCAAACCTCAAGAAGGAGACACATACTTGTTTGGGCGTAAAAATTGATGACATTGAGCTGGAAAACTATTTAACACACAAAGCTAAACAAGATTTCTCAAGCTCTAGGAAGTGATTCAACGTAAACATAGACTGGTTTGGGGAAAAGAGGGTAAAACAGCATCTGTGTTTTGTAGTCCGTAACAACTATACCCAAGCGTCAGTTCGTGCTTCTGAGAACTTTTTCACTGTTTTCCCTACATCAAATAAGTTTGAACCCGATTTATATGAGATTCTGCACCCAAATCTAAATAATTAGAAATAAACTTTATCACTTTAGAGATTGATGGTAAAACAGGGGAAATACCTAATTTCTCGAAGAAAATAAGAGACTGATAAGAACCAAACAACCTATTTCTTAATAACATGATCTGGAAATGAAATGATTGTTTGTAATGATTCAAATGAAATGTAACAGCAGACTGGATGAAAATTTCATTTTATTAGATAGTAGCATTGTAATTATTTTTTAATTACCACATCTGAGTTAGAACAAAAAGCTTGATAGTGTTTGGAATCATAATTTAAGGTCAAATAGATGCATTTAAAAACATTCTAGTTTAAATTTGTCAGCATAAGATCCATGAGGGGAAAACAAAAACAAAAACAAAAAAACCTAAGAATTTGGGGAAATGGTGCAATGCTTTAGCTGGATTATGGTGTAGAATGCGGTCTGTTTGGTGACAGTCAATATACTGCTATTAAGTATGAACTAACCTGGTGGCCCACAACATGTGCATGGTGTCTGCTTTTAAGAATTCTTTTTTTTTTTTTTTTTTTTTTTTTTTTGAGACGGAGTCTCGCTTTGTTGCCCAGGCTGGAGTGCAGTGGCGCGATCTCGGCTAACAGCAAGCTCCGCCTCCCAGGTTCACGCCATTCTCCTGCCTCAGCCTCCCGAGTAGCTGGGACTACAGGCGTCCGCTACCACGCCTGGCTAATTTTTTGTATTTTTTGTAGAGACGGAGTTTCACCGTGTTAGCCAGGATGGTCTCGATCTTCTGACCTCGTGATCCGCCAGCCTCCGCCTCCCAAAGTGCTGAGATTACAGGCATGAGCCACCTGCGTTTAAGAATTCTAATGAGAATGTCAGCAGATACTCAGATGATCATTGAATTTGCTACTTTATTTGTTTCTTTATAGGAAGTTCACAGTTGTTTATGTCACCACTGCATTCATGGAAATTTGGGGATAGAAATCACATGATTTTTCCAATATATATATAGTAAAGTCTTTAATTAACTGAATAGGGCCTTAAAATAAAAGCCCTTTCTTAGCTTCCCTTGCAGCAATATTGAATTTCCTTATTGGTTGAATGTTTACTAGAATATTCCTTTGGTTTTCAGCTTTCATATAATATGTTCATTTTTTCTTATAAATTATAGTGATTAAGAACATTCTGATGCTAGCCATTATGCTAGAGATAAACCTTTGTTGTACCTTACATTATACACAAATGTAAAATTGCATTGAATTTCCCCAGAGATTTACCTTCAATAAGTCCATAACATTGTATTTGTTTTGTTTTAATTCCTTTTTCTTAGATCTTGAGTGTGCCTTAAAATTCCATTTCATGGAGAACTGTGCGTGGTTGAATTTTGATTGATTACTCAATTAACTGATGTATTGGTAGAGTGATTAAGAAAGAAGACTTTGGGATCAGACCAACCTGGTTTTGAATTCAAGCTCAGCAACTTACTAGGTGAGTAACCTCTAAACCCACATTAAGCCTTTTTTCTATCCATAAAATGGAGATACTAACATTGCTTGTCTTGTTTGGCTGTTATGATGACAAAATCAGAAAATATGAATAAAACCTTTTGAATTATGCCTGATGCATACTAATCTTAATGTCAAGTATTACAGTTTCTACATGCCAAGGTAAGTGGATTTATGAATTATATTACCCATTTAAATGAACCCCTATGTAAGGAATAAGTGACTTGAAAAGATTTTTGCTAAGAAAAGGCAAATTAAATATAATGCTAATAATGCAGGAACATAGTACAAAAAAGGATACAGGCAGAGTGGATGTTTTATTCTTTGTCACACTTCATACAGTATAAAAACAATGATGGTCTATTAGGTTTCACAAGAAGTTGGCCAAAAAGGTTAGACATTATTAAGAACTCATTCTGATGCAGGATTTACATTCACTATCCTAAAAGTAAACTTCATGTTATTTGGGGCCTTGAGAACTCACCTAATGATAGTATGATGCCATCACAATGAACACATTTTAAAAGTAACCATCCAGATTATGAATACAAAACTCTACCACTTTCTTAGCTATTTTATAATATTGCCATACTCATATGATAATTTATTATTTTTGAACTTAATGACTAGTATTTAGAAACTTTCTTTGAGGTTTCTCAATAACTGTGGCAGAGCATAATTTTTGTTTTGTTTTGTTCTGGATAATCTACCAGCCACATACCACTGCCCTTTCTCATGCCACTGCCCTTTCTCATGCCACCCCTACTGTAAATTCTGGAAAGCCTAGTATGCTCTTTCTCAGCTTCCCTTGCAGCAATAGGGGAGCCGTAAGTTCTCATTATATCCATCCAATGAGGCATGAGGAAAAGTCTGCTGGGCGAGCATCTAGTGATACTTTCTTCCTGACCCAGGTGTGGCTAGTGCTGTCCTTCCTTGTTCATCGCATCTTTGAATATAGTTTTATTATGCAGAGTTGTGGCAGCAATCTTACAACCAAGAGTCAGCAAGCACAGAGACCAAAAAAAAAAAAAGTCTAAGCAGTGCAGAAAGGTGGAGCAAACCTGGTCCTTCTGACACTGCTGAGCACCAGCCATGGACCACCTCCCTCTAGAACATGACTGTGCTGCTCAAGCCAATGTGAGTCAGGTGTTCCTTTTAGTTAGTCTGTAGGACTTTTGTAATATGAGCTCATTCATTTTAACCATTTCTTTTATTATTTACGCCACACCCTGTTTCCCAAAAATAGTTGAAATGATGGGTAATACAGGAAAAATGGGAATAAAATAGATAAATTTGGTTTTCTAAAGCTTAGTATCCACAAAGATAAGCTCTAATAGTTTCTCAGGGGAAGCATAGATTTTTTTGAGTACTGATTTCTAAATGACATTTCCTATGTGAATCTTGATGTATGAAGAACATCAGATGATGCAGGGTGTAACCTCTTCTGCAACCTTGCTATGTGAACTGCAATTTTATTTATAGGAATTTTATGGAGTTGCTTTGTTGTATGCATCCTTCTATAGAGTGGATCGGGGCATCAATACACAACTCAGTGACATCAATTTTGTGTGGGGCCAGTAAATGCAATATATCATACCCTCTTGTGGAACGTTCTGATTCAAAGCAGAAGTTACAATTTATAAGAGAGAGAATGGCCTTCAGTTTTGGGGGTTTCTTTTTCCCCAAGCATTATAGTTCACACAGTTTAGATTTTGATGGGCATACAAGATCTGAGAGATCAACATTCTACTCTTGGATGAAAGCCCAGGGAGGAAGTCTTTTGTATTTCTGGTTGAGGGCAGATTCATATGTTTAAGAAGCAGTAAAACTGCTCCTGTGTTTGGTACCCTATATGCAATACTTGGGGCATATAATAAATACTCATCACTGGATAGAGAACCATCACACTTTGCCTGAAGGTGGCCTTGTGGGCACATGTTTTCTTATGAGGCAATGCTGGATCCCTTTGTAACACATGAGCTAGTGACAAATTAGGCTTCAAAGTTTTAGCCTATAGGAAACAGTAAAGATAATTTTGACCTAGAAATATTTAAAGCCACTGTTGCCACTTACCCATCATAACTATAGGACAAAAACAAAAACATAGTACAGTGCCATCACAATTAATGCATTATTAACACATACATATACATACATACAGGCACAAACAAAAATTCCTTATGTTATATTCTCATATTTTATCTGGTTTTGAGCAACATGGCCTTTGTCTGAATCCACTAGGATGAATTCCTTGCAAAGTAAACTTTTAAAAAATTTAGATATTCCCTGTCAGATAAAATAATTTTAGCATTAAAATATTTAATATGAAGCCATGCCTTCTGATAGTGTTTCATTGGATAAACTCTGCTTTGTGACAATTAAATTTTACAGTCAATATGTAGAAATCTTATTTTCATATTTTCTTGGGGGAAAGGAGGAAAAGTATGTTCTTTATGTGGTACAGAATAAAGAGCACATTCAGTTGCTTTTCAAAATATATACCTGGACTGAGAGGAATAAATTTATATTCATAGATACTACCTTAGGGTAAGAGCAGGCAGATAAGGAAAGCCCAACTCTTTATAGTTTATGCCAGAGTGTTTATTCTCATGTGGGGGTATCTCTCTTTATATAAAGATGTAAAATTAATAAAAACCTAAATAATTAATAGGAGATACATTCATGGGACAAACCGAAAAGACTTTAAAAATTAAGCTTACTGAATTAAAGTATTCCCCCCAAATCCCTACCATGTCTCTTTTTCAGAGATGTTAAGAATGATACCCCAGCTCTTTAACTGGAGGATAAACTAGTTTATGTTTTCATGAAAACATACCGCCAAATTATTTCATTTCTACTACTACTACATTATACTGAAAGAATTAGGTTAAAATATGAGCAATGTTTTTTAATTCTCTTTCACTTATTGCAGACTTCTCCAAATAGCAGAATCTTTTTCTTTCATGGCTGTTTTATTTCCCAGGGCATCACCATTAGTGTCTGTGTTTATCTTCGTTATCAAAACTTAGTCTGTAAAGTCATTTTTGATAATTTTCCTTTTGGCTTAGCCTCACAAAATCTATTATTCTAAAGCTGGATAACATGCCACATTCCACCTCTGCCTGTGCTGCATAAGCACTCTGAATGATGACAGATCAGAGAAGATGGGCCTGAATGCATAATTATTGTGACATGTAGTTAATGTTGGTTGATAAAAGTAGGCACACACAATTAAGAAAACATGCTTGATAAAGCTAGGCAGTTTATTAAGGATTTGGGTAAAACAACTGTGAGAAGTTACAAGGATTCATAAACTTCTTTTTGCCTCCTCCAATGTCACTGTCTCTGATTGTCTTCCCAATCTTTTCATAAGGTTTGTCTCATGCATAATAATTTCCTACTCCCCCGCCCCATTCCATTCTAGAACAGTTTTGCCTTTTCAACTAGTTACTGTTACCACCATTTAATAAGAAGGTTTTGCTTGGCTTTCTAATCGAAAACTTGCTTTTATCTTTCTTCATGAAAGAATTGAAATGGCTTCTTTCAGGTTGCTGTAGCCTCTGGGGAGATAAGGACCCTGCGGTTAACAGGATGAGAGATTTTTGTTTAGAAATTTTTATTTAGACAATGAAAAATGACCTCTGTAAACTCAAAGCTATCTTATTTTTGGGCTTTAGGCTTCTGGCAGATAAATCAATTGGGCCCTTGGGACAGCAAAGGAAAAACCTTTGCAGTAACTATGTCAGGGCAACGCAATAGATTTGTTGTGAGTATGCAGTTGTGTTGAATGTAGAATGCACTTAAAAATAAATATCATTTTATTTTCTATTAAATATTCAGGATCTGGATTCTACTGTTTTCAGCTGCTACAAGGAAATATTTCTTTTTGTGATACAAACTGAAGAAGGCAGATATTTTTTATGTATAAAATATGTGGCTATTGTTGGTATTCTGATTTTGACTTTTTAATTATTTACCTGTGCATTCTCTAATGGAGACTGTTTATAGACTTAAATTCCAAAGTTATATCCTCACATTAAAAATATTAGTATTATGAATGGCTGTTTTGTGGGTAAACAATTTCATTGTTGCCTACATAATACAATAGTCTAAAAAATGCTTTTCTAAAAGATGCTTTTCCAGATTGCCACCACATTTTTCACACCTGTTCATAGGTTCAAGGAGCTTTGCAGATCCTCACAGCATGAATTTGCACCGCATGCTTACTCTCTAAAGAAAGAGTGTTGCACTTGGCAGTGTGCTTTTTTACCTGTGTCATGTAGAGTGGAGATTCAGGGTGAAAAGTTATGCAGAATAATCTGTAAATTTGACAAGAAACAAACCAGGAGACAGATGCTCACTCAACCAAAATGCATGGATGTGCAGTTGTTAGTAATGGAATTGCTGATTAACATGGTAAAGAGGCAGTTTTCAAGGGGTTAATTTGTTTTCCTATTGTACAGGAAACCATTACATCCATTTTTGCAATGATGCTAAGGTTATGATATAAACCAATAAGATGCATTAGACCAGAAATTAAGGTATACTGGAAAAGAGAGGTACAATATGCTTAGCAAACAGCACATGAAGAGTCACAAGAAAACCAGTGGAAAAGACAGAAGTGAGATTAGGAAAGTGAGCAAGAAATATAAATAAAAGCTATGCTTTTTGTCTTGAACTTTTAACTTTGGAATGAAAGCAAGCCTGTTTGATCAGCTTCTTCTATCTTTTTATCTTTTTCTAAATTTCTTTTTTGATTTTGGGGTTTTTTTCTCCTTTCTTAAAGTTGATTAATTCTAGGCTATGGTCAGAATTAACAGGTAAACCATATTTTATTTATTTTTGCAGTTCTCTCAGTTTAGGAACTTGAATAATATAAAAACATAAAACAAAGATATTGCATAAATATCCTTGAATTAGCTACAGTCACACTTCACAATAATCAAATGTAAGTTTCAGTTTTAGGGATACTGGGACAGATAAATGATATATGTTTGGATCTGGGTTTCCTTTTCCAAACAAAGTGGGCATGACATCAATCTCAAAGTATTGAAATAAGTAATAAGTGAGATTATAGATAAAATAACAGTAGCTAATAGTTTCTGAGCACTTGCCTCTGTGGGCACTGTTTACATATGCTCATTTACTCCTCACAATAATTGTATGAGATATACATTACTATAATAATCCCAATGACTGGTACAACAGAAGCATAGAGAGGTTAATTCATCCACTAGTATGTGGCAGGGCTGGTAATCAAGCCAAGAATCCTGTGCTGTTAACTCCTGCAGTATGGTCCTCTGCGCCAAGTACACAGTATACATTCAGTAAACACTAGGACCCCAGTTCTTTCCTTCACTGAAGTCTAATATGTTGAGTAAGATATCGGTGATCAACTTCTGTGACTTGAATATTAAAGTATTCATGTTATTAAAGAAAATTTGTATATTTAAGTGTTTAATTCAGTTGTTAGAGCAAATATGCCTGCTTATCATACCTTTTTTGAAATAATATATCACATCCGAATATTCAATAAATCATCAGCATTTACCATATCCCTATCACAGTATCTACTATTGATTATGCAAAGTAAATTTGTCTCAAGACCTTTACCAATCAGCACCTTAAAAATCAGGTAAAGAATAAGTTTATTTAAAACCAATAGAAAATAATTTACAATATTACTTTCAATTGTTAATTTAATAAAAATCATTGTTGGGCTGTACAATACAGATAACAAAGATGGTGAACTATCAGTCTAAAATAATTATATTTGGTTATAATTAATAACGAATGCTTCATGAAAAATCTTTGAACTTAAGTTCACTAGACATTTTCTGAAAATGTAGTTGTCCATACACAGTAGAAATGGCATAAATGATCAATTAAATTTATAAACTATTCATAGAATCCATGCTTATGAAGTTTCACTCATCCCAATAACTGACTTATTATTCAACTTTCTGAAAAACAGTTGTAAATCCAGAGATGGGCTACCCAAAGCTATAAAAGAGTTGCAATAATCACAAAGCCCATTTAATGAAAGTCCATGTATGCCACTCTGAGGTGGTCCCCAGACTCCCACTCAGGATTTATTATTATGCTTATTCATTTTCCAAGCTGATGGCAGATTCAAAATATCAAGTGAGAAAGAAAAAAAAAGAGGGCACTTTTAGGAGCAGATATAACTACAAAGTCTTGTGTACCACTAGTAATGCTTAGCTTGGCATCCCCTACAACAGTTGATGGTCTGTAAGTATGTGTTGAGTAAAGTGGTAGTAGGGAAAGAGAAATCAAACAGCAAAAGTAGGTAGGCAAATAGGACTGTACAAATCTATGGTTGTTTAGCACAGGAGCCAGTGCAATAGTTTAAAAGCTGTTCAAGGCATTGCCTTACAATAGTTCATGCTTATAATAATGAGATGTCTTTATCTGTAAGATTAACTCGTGTTCTAAATACTATGTTTAAGGCATCTGAGTAGTATTATGAAATTCTCTGAGAATATTTTAATTAAAGATCTTAATATTTTAAAAATTGTGCAGGAATTGAAAAATCCAACTAAAGGAGATAGAAAATAATGAAAATGAAGAGGTAAAAGTGAACATCAAAATAAATAGTAGAGTGAGAGGAAAAAGACTATAGGCTAGTGGATATTCATTTGGAAATGAAATGCGTACTACAGCTTTAGTTCTTTAAGAGCAGACACCCTGTTGTATTCTACTTTGTATTAATAATTTGTGTCTGAACCCCAAATCTGGATTATGGGGAAGCCAAAGGTATGTAAAATTTAAGGAAGCACTAAAATATTCAAAAGTCAAGATAAAGAATATTTAGATATAACATTTTAAAAATAAAAATGAATGCAAAAAATTCATGGTAAATAAAATACCAAAATTTAAAATTTAAAATATTTTAGATATAAAATAAGACAGATTTTTTTTTATAACCCTGCATTATTATACACATATTGTGGTAACAGTCATTTCCAACCAGGCCATGGTCCCTGAGTCCTGCAAGTGCTGCAACCCTCACCAGTTAGTTTTACAAGGGTTGAACATGGCATGCAAACAGATTGGGCAATGTGGAGTTTTGTGTATAATCTTGCTTGTGACTGCAGAGTCTTCATTAACTTTTCTCACTGAGTTCAAAATATGGGAAGATACTTTGATAATAAGTGTATACCGAAGGGCATATTTTTCCTTTTACCTCAAGCTTCAATATGTCTCAGCACTGGAATGCTGAACACTTCCTAATACATAGTTGATAACTGATGTTTATTGAATGAAAAATGGTTAATGAATTAATGTGGCTATCTTCTTCTCCAAATATGCATTACTAAGATTCTAATATTTGGTGTCCCTTCCAGCTTGTATATTTTTTCTTCTTGCTGCATAATTTATGGACTTTCTACATCTAACATTCTTTCTCAAAGTTGCAAGGGAGGTTTTAGGGGCATGATTAGAGATATCTGGATGCTCAAAGAAGGCTGTTGTAAAAGCTCATGAATAACACACTATGTATGAAATTTTATAATAATAGTTTACCAAAACTGCCAGTTTCCCTGACTGACTTCCCTTACTACCTCTATACCTGGAATCTCCCTCATTTTCTTCTCAATTTTATTTAAGCACACTTCTAATATTCGATTTGGTTAAATATTTCTAAATAATCAGATTTCAGTATTGCAGAAAAGTTTAGTTTTGCAACATTCTAAATTGCCACCTATTATTTCCATCTTTCATTAATTGTTCCTTTATAGTATCCTCAAGTGTGTTTTAAATTTGTTGTGTATTCTCTCTTGTTTGGAATGATATCTATCTTAAAACTATGTCCATCTTGAAACTCTCTGCAATACCTAGAAGATCAGGGAAAATAAATATTAATTAATGATCATGGTAATAATAATGATATAGCAATTTAACTGTCTTATGTCTTTGCTCACATTGCCCTTATGGCCTCACTGGAATAATACTGATTTTTACAACCAACACAATTTCTTATCTTTGAAAGCCTTTTCTCTGACTCCATTTTAACGTCTCCCATTATTGTTTTGTTACACATAAATTACGTGAAAAGAGACTCTCCTGCATTATTTATTTTTTTCATAACTAATATTTGAATAAAACAAAGGTGAAATTTGACATAGGAAAGTTTCTGTTTTTCTAAGAACTAGATCATATAAATGCATATGGTCAAGATGTATTTTTTAGAGATTTTGAAAATATTATGTGGAATGTTGATTTTTTTAAGTAAATAAGAAACAGCACCCTTCAGAAGTCTTATATATTATTTATGATTCTATTTTAAAAAATATTTTTTCATGAGACTATTTTACTTGGATCTTCAAATTGTACATTTGTTGGGACCAGTTCACCTACTGGTCCATATCCACATAAGTCGTGCTTTACAGTCATAGACTGGTGTGACACACTGTAATAGAAAATGATGCATTGACTGAATTTAAAGGAACATGGACTATTTCTGGATCTGCCGTGCAGCATGAGATCTGTATCATATTTGAAACAAAGCTAACCAAGCAGACAAAGCAAAAAGATATCTATAGCATCCATTAATCAGGATAGAGTATATATTTTTTCAGCATCTTACTCTATTTGCTTAGCATATTTTAAGCCTGAAATGCAGAACAAAAACAGCCTTAGTGACCATTTGCATTGATTCTTACATGTTTGTCCTTAGGGAATCATCCCTTGAAAAAGCCAAAGCAAACTCGATTTCTTTGAAAATTGTCAAATAGTTAGTATTACATGTATTTCTTTATGCCATCTTTTTTTTCCACTGGGGTGGCATTAAAATATTCTGCAATGTATGCATTTTGATTTAACTATAAATATATAACTAAATCTGCCATTTAAAAAAAACTGAAAATAATTTAAAGTGTGTTGTTCATAAGAAATGCAAGCATAAAATTACTTGAAATTTAAACTAGGAAGAGTAAACAACATAAAAGAATCAACTAAAAGATGCATATTCATTCTTAAGACCTTCAGTTTGGGTAAGACTTTAGAAACTCTTTGAGACAGAATTACCACACCTGCTTTAAAGAAGGCAGCTTATATTTCTCTCCACTCTATAAGGTATATTAAACATTCTCAAGTCCTTTCCCATAGGGATTTCCACATCTAAAATTCTTGAAGTTGAGCCTCTATGTTTCTCTCTATTCAAATTGCTTATTCCTCCAAGTGCAGTGAGGTAAAAGCGTCTGGGGATCAGACTGACACATGTTTACCCCATCTGCGTCCCGCCCCGCCCACCATCTCTCACCTTATACAAAAATCAACTCACCATGGATTAAGGACTTAAACCTAATACCTGAAACTATAAAAATTATAGAAGATAACATTGGAAAAACCCTTCCAGATATTGGCTTAGGTAAGGATTTCATCACCAAAAACCCAAAAGCAAATGCAATAAAAACAAAGATAAAGAGCTAAGACCTAAACTAAAGAGCTTTTAATCAAACTAAAGACCTTTGCACAACAAAAGGAACAGTCAGCAGAGTAAACAGACAACCCACAGAGTGGGAGAAAATTATCACAATCTATACATCTGACAAAGGACTAATATCCAGAATCTACAATAAACTTAAACAAATCAGTAAGAAAAAAACATTCAATCCCATCAAAAAGTGGGCTAAGGACATGAATAGACAGTTCTCAAAAGAAGATATACAAATGGCCAACAAACATGAAAAAATGCTCAACATCACTAATAATCAGGGAAATGCAAATCAAAACCGCAATGCGATACCGCCTTACTCCTGCAAGAATGGCCATAATAAAAAAATCAAAACAGTGGATATTGGTGTGGATGCGGTGGACAGGGAACACTTCTACACTGCTGGTGGGGCTGTAAACTAGAACAGTTGCTATGGAAAACAGTGTGGAGATTCCTTAAAGAACTAAAAGTAGAACTACCATTTGATCCAGCAACCCCACTACTGGGTATCTATCCCAAGGAAAAGAAGTCATTATTCGAAAAAGATACTTGCACACATGTTTATAGCAGCACAATTCACAATTGCAAAATCGTGCAACCAACCCAAATGCCCATCAATGAGTGGATAAAGAAACTCAGATATATATATATATGAATACTACTCAGCCATAAAAAGGAATGAATTAATAGCATGTGCAGTGACCTGGATGAGATTGGAGACTATTATTCTAAGTGAGGCAACTCAGGAATGGAAAACCAAACATTGTATGTTCTCACTGATATGTAGGAGCTAAGCTATGAGGACACAAAGACATAAGAGTGATAGAATGAACTTCAGGGTCTTGGGGGGAAGAGTGGGAGGGGGAAGAGGAGTAAAATACAACAAATATGGTGCAGTGTATACTGCTTGGATGATGGGTGCACCAGGGTCTCACAAATCACCACCAAAGAACTTAAGTAACCAAATACCACCTGTACCCCAATAACTTATGGAAAAATAAAATAATAAAAAATTTAAGAAGTAAAATACCTGTAACTTTGCTAGTATTAGACATCTGTAACATAACCCCGATCCTCATTTTTATTTTTCTTAATTTTTAAGTTTTTTGGGTGCAGAGTAGGTGCACATATTTATGGGGTAAATGAGATATTTTAATACTAGGCATGCAATGAGTAATAATTATATCAGGGTAAATAGGGTATTCATCACCTCAAGCATTTCTCTGTGTTACAAACAGTTCCATTATATTCTTTAGTTAATTTTAAATGCACAATAAGTGATTATTGACTGTAGTCACCCTGTTGTGCTATCAAATACTAGATCTTATTCATTCTATCTAACCATATTTCATTAATGCTTCTCTCTGTACGTTGATTTCCCCTCTTTCCTTTGTGTCATCCACATCTGCTCTCTCCTGCCTTCCCTCACAATCACACCTCCTTTCCTTTGAGATAATTATTTTTAGGGTTTTTGTAATTGGAAAATTACTTATCAAGGGTCTTTAAGTGATTTTCATTACTAAGTACATATAGCTAACTCTCGCATTTCTGTTCCCATCCCTGGCCTAGTTAAATCTTCACAGCTGCATTGAAATTACCTGTTCTTAGAAATCAGCTAAATGTGTTATGTCATATATACATCTTCCACCCTGAAAAAGCTGTCCATTCACTATTCCATAGCTCCCATTAACCTCATCACTACTCTCCCAGCTGTCTAGGCTGTGCAGTATGAAGAAATAAAAGGAGTTGGGAAAGAGGAAAATATACTTGGAGAATGATATTCTGTAGTTATTTGATCTGTTCATTCAACATTATTCCTCACAGTCAGCTTAGAAATAATATTGAACAATTTTCTCTATAATATTTCTGCATTTACTTCCCCATTTTCATTCTGACAACCACACTGAGCCCAGTTATACTTTCATTACTTCACATCCAGTCTCTCCTCTCATCCTTTTCATGCTATAATCTATTTTAGGTACAAAAGCGGGAATAATCTCTCACACATCTGCAATGTTTCCTTTTTCCTTACTGTATTAGAATGACGCTATTCCACCCTCTTCCATCTTGTCCTTTTAATCTCATCAGCTGTATTTTTCTTAGTACATTTCATGAACAGTTCGTTCAAGTCAAAGTCACCTGTTGTTTGCAGAGAAGTTGAAAATTGAAAGAAGAAATTCTCTCCTTTCTTCTCATTCATTCTACCTTTCCTTCCTCCTCCTTCCCCTCCACTACTCTCTTCCCCTTCCCTTCTCCTGTGTTTTTACTTTCATTCATTAAACAACTTATTAAATACCTACGATGTTGACATACCCTGGAGCTAGATGATACATCAGGCTTAATTCCACTTCAAGGCTGGGAAGTAAGTAATGTGGCATGATATTAATCTTCCCAAGACATTTGTATGGGAAATATTAGCTATAATTCATAGAGGTGGAAACTAAGATTGAGAACGGTTTTATAATGCACAGAGGTCACATAGGAGATAACAAATAGACCTGGGATTCAAATCTAGACGTTTTCAGTTCCAGAATACATATGTTTCCACACAAAATTACTTGAAATAAAAATCCAGGAAGTCCAGGGCACTGAGGGAGAGAGATGAACACAAATGAATCTGAGGTGCTAGAAGCCAGCATGCCTACAGGTTAAAGAGTGGACACTGGGCTTTGGTGAGATAAGGCTGGAGGAGTAAGGAGGGATTTGATTATGTCCACCCTTATAGGCCATATTAATCAGGTTAATTTTTAGTCCTATGGCCACTAGGAAACCACTGACTTAACTTTAGTTAAGTGGGTGACAAAACAAGATTTACACACTGGAAAGATAGCTCAGAGGTCAGGGTGAATGTGGGTAACTAGCAGTGCAGCTAAGATGATGGACTAAGGTGATGTGATTAATACGTATAATATAAAATGCTAGGATTCGCTGCTACATTAGATATGTACATTAAAGGGTGCAAGATTTCTAGTGTGACTCAGAGGTTTCAGACTTCCTTACTGGGTAGAAATCACGTTTGATCTAGGATGGGATGAAGAGGTGGAATGTTAACTGAATACATGCATGTGTGAGGTTAAAGAAAATATAAAATAAGAAGAGGCATGACACCAAGTTATGAAGAGCTACAACATTGATGGTTGGATAGAAGGAGTGATCTTAGAAAAGGGAGAATAAAGAAAAAAAATCAGAAATCAGAAGATAGGTCAAGGAAACTAAGAAAGGCAGAAGAAAGATTTTTAAGGCAGGAGTGGTCAGTAGCGTCAAATTCTGTTGAAATTAACAAGTGTTCATCAGATTTAGTGACTGAAGATCATTGTTAACCTTAGAGCTCTTTGAATCAAGGTTCTAGAAGTCAGATGAGAATGGATAAAGTTAGGAAGTGGATTCTGAAGGAGCAAGAATAATTTTGTAGAGAGGCAGTGGGGCAAATCAAGAAAGATTTCAGAAGAAGTCATAATTTGTTTTCCCTTTTTCTTAATATTTTCTTGGAAAAGAATTCCCTTCTTAAAATAATTTGAGAATGTAGAGTTGTAGCATTCTAATTTTCATTTTTTTAAACGACTCTCCTTTTTTTTTTTTTTTTAGTACTGTAATTCTATCTTTACCACTCAATTTTACCACTATCTTTACCACTAAATTTTAAGGCCCTTAAAAGAATAGAATAATAAACCTATTATTTTATATCTATTTACAATCTTCTTTCAAAACAATATACACATGCATGTAGATTAATTAGTCATCAACTATTTTATACGTATATTTACATATATACACACATACACATATACATATATACTATTGCAATATATACTATTCATACAGCAGTTATGCTATTTATGCCAGAAATTCTGTATCAGAATTTCAATTAATTTTATGTTTTCATTCCAGTGATAACCCTAATATTGTAATTAATTGTGTTTTAGATCATCTGATTGAGCACCAAGCTCTGTCATGAAATTTTAGTACCCAAATTTGTATGTGATTTCCATTTTATTTTCTTTCATAAGAAATCATGGTTTGCTATATGAACAAATTCTGTATTGTACCAAATGAAGGAAAGTTGGGGGAAATTGAATTTACATGCAGTCATGTAATGTAAACCTCTGGATCAAAGATGGCTGCTCTGTCAATAGAATCACATTAAATTAAGCAATAGATAACAATAAGTAGAACCAACTGTATGTGCAACAAGTTTTAAAAACAGCGAGTAATGAATGCACAATGAAAAAGCCAGACATGGTGGTGGGTGTGTGCCTGTAGTCCCAGCTACTTAGGAAGCTGAGTCAAGAGGACTGATTGATCCCAGATGTTTGGAGGCCGCAGTGAGCTGTGATCATGCCACTGCAATCTAGCTCGGGCAATGGACCAAGACCCCCATCTCAAAAAAAAAAAAGAAAAGAAGAAAAATAAAAGTAGAAAAAGAAAAAATAGCAATGTGAACATCTTATTCCATCTTATTCAAAGGAAAAATACAGCTTTAAAGAGTTATCAAGCAATACCTTATTAAAATTGGCAAGATAATGATTACGTACAATGTTAGGTTCTCTTGAACTAGCAAAACACTGAAGCCATTAATCCCACTTTGTACAACACGTGTGAGCAGGGATTCTCTCCATTAAATATTAGACTTTTGAAATACAAAGCCATGCATATTTAGAATTAGATCTGTGCCTACTTCTTTCTGCAATTAACTAAACATCACTTTTTGACTTAATGCCAAAACATTTTTGAAAAATAATACAAATTTGAATTTTTTAATTTGATTTTTAAAAAAATTTCTAATTGTTTTGGGTTTTTATCACAAATATATTTAAATGGGATTATAAAACATTTTAGAAATACAGTATTTGTTTTCTCTAAAAGTGGGCTAAATATATTATTCAAATCGAAAAAATTCTAAGGCATTTGGATTAAAGCAAAGTTTCGTAAAGCATTCCAATTCTTCCTCCCAAGGCAGTTTAAAATCTAATTGATGAAATGGGACCTAGTAGACTTGGACCAATGGATACACAAGAAGATATACTGCTGCAGGCCAGATGTCCAGTGGATTCTGATGTCATGGATGGCTTCAAGGAGGAAGTAGAACTTGGCTTGATCCTTTATGGCTAGGGTGAAGTTTGGCATGGTGTTCTAGGAGAGGGAGACTAGATGAGCAATGGTGTACAGAATTGTGCTCAGGATAATTAGGGCTTCAGTTTAGCTGGAGACTGTGTGAAATGATCAGGGGAGATACAACTGCAAAATAGTCTGGGGGCAAATTATAGATTAAATACATTTACTGTCAGTAAAGCCATTGATTAACATCAAATTCTACTCCCTCACATTTATTGTATTTCATGGATTTATGTAAGTACACTGAGGATATTTCTTCTAGAGGTTTCTGTGTTCCATAAAAATATTTTCAGATTAAATAATTTCTCATAGAAAACACATGACGAATCATAAAAATAGAGGAAAAAACTTGTAAATCACATGTTACTGAAATAATCATTGGGATTTGGTTGGCTGTTTTTAGTAAAGTTAGACTTATTATTAAGTTCATTACTCCCCCAACCCCATTTTTGTGACTCTTTCTTCATTGTGTTTCACATCCGATAGGGAAGTAAGTGAGATAATATGTGTGTAATTTCCTTGTTTATTTCTTCCTTTATTTTTATCCCTTTTTATTCTTCTTTTATCTATAGAAAATGATATCAAAATGTTTATCATTACAACTCTTCCATTCCTTTCACCTTCCTTTAGTTTACTCATGAATTTTCCAAATGGGGGATCTTTGCATCAGGTTGTCTTTGGAAATGTTTGGAGTCTTAGAGATGGAATACAGAAAGACAGTTGATAAAGAACATTTTTTTTCTTCCTCAGTAGATCAATACCAGACCTAATGCTTATCCTTGTTCATGTGAATGCTTTTATATATTTGAACTGCCAACATATAAATGTTGACCAATAAAGGCATACACATAATTTTTAGTCATGTGGATTTTAACATTTTAACTTTGTTAAATAAATAAAAACATTTGTTACATGCTTCATGTTCTATATTTGACAAACACTAGTTCTATTCTGATTTTCATAGACTTCTGTAAGGAAATGCCTATAGAATACATCACCTTTTACTTTAATGTTCTCTCAGTGAACTTGTCCTATGCTACAGAGCATCCTTGAAAACAACAACCTGCTAAAATTTTAAAGATAGCCTCCTTCCAGCAGTAAGAATTTCTTCAGAAGTAGAACCTTTTCCAAACATATTAATATTTTCAAAAAGATGATAACCCTGTCAGGGATTAGACTGTCTCCAGGGTTAAAACCATAATCTGGTAAATAACTTCAACAGAGTATCTCTTTCTCCCTGAATAGGAAACTTTCTCATCAGGGAATCCCACAGACATTCATTTCTTCAAAGACAGGACCATTAAAACATGTCAGAATCTTCAAAGTGGGAAACATGCCACCCCTTAGCAAAATGAAGTCCTTTAAAGTACAAGCCCAACAGCATTATGAAGGCTCTGAAGGAAAAGTCCCAAAGCTCTACAAAATACTGCTTCCAGTACCCAATCCTCAAGATTTTAATTTTAAAATGTTATGCAGATGGTGCGTAATCTACTTTTTTAAAATAGACTGTATTTTTAGAACAGTTTTAGGTTCATAGCAAAATTGAGCGGAAATAAAGAGATTTCTTTATATACCCACTGCCTCCACACTTACATAGCCTTCCCCATTATCAACATCCCTCACCAGAGTGGTGTATTTGTTACAATCCATAATCCTACATTAACACATCATTTTCACCCAAAGTCCATTGTTTACATTCGGGTCTCACTCTTGGTATTGTGCATTCTATGGGTTTGGAAAAACATATAATGACTTGTATCCACCATTATAGTAGCATACAGAGTAGTTTTTTGCACTGTTCTAAAAATTTTCTGGGCTCCACCTATTCATCCCTCCCTCCTTCCAATCCCTGGCAACCAATGATCTTTTTACTGTCTCCATAGTTTTGCCTTTTTCAGAATGTCATATTGTTGGAATCATGCAGTACGTCTTTTTAGACTGGTTTCTTAGACTTAGTTGTATGCATATAAAATTCCTCCATATTTCTCCATGATTTAATAGCTCATTTCCTTTTAGCACTGAATAATATCCCATTATCTGGATGTACTAGTTTATTTATCAATTCACCTACTGAAGGACACCTTGATTGCTTCCAGGTTTTGGCAATTATGAATAAAGCTGCTGTAAACATCACGTGCAGGTTTTTACGTGGATTCAAAAAAACTTCTTTGGGTCAATACGAAGGCAGGTAATTAGTGGCTCAATTGGCAAGAGTATGTTTAGTTGTTAAAGAAACTGCCGCCCTGTTTTCCAAAGTGGCTGCAACATTTTGTATTCCCATCAGCAATGAATGAACATTTCTGTTGCTCTATATCCTTGCCAGCATTTGGTGGTGTTGGTGTTCTGGATTTTGGCCATCATATTAGGTGTGTTGTGTTATCTAACTGTTGTTTAAATTTGCATTTTTTGAATGACATATGTAATGGAGCATCTTTTAATATGCTTGTTTGCCATTTGTATATCCTCTTTGGTAAGATATTTTTTAATTTTTGGAACTTTTAAAACTCAGGTTTTCTTAAGTTGTAAGGTTGCTTTATATGTCTTATATAACAGTTCTTTATCAGATATGTTCTTACAAATATTTTCCCTCCATCTATGGCTTATCTTTTCATCTTCTCAACAGTGTCTTTTACAGAGCAGATGTTTTTAATTTTAATAAAGTTCAGCTTTTCAATTATTTCTTTCATGGGTTTTTTTCTTCATTGTTGTACTTCACAATCATCACCAAACCAGGGGTCATTTAGATTTTTCTATGTTATTTTCTAGGGGTTTTACAGTTTTATACTTCACATTTAGGTCTATGATCCATTTTGAATTAATTTTGATGATGGATGTCAGATCTGTTGGATGAAGGTATGGATTCATATATTTGCACATGGATGTCCAGTTGTTACAGCACCATTTTGTTGAAAAGACTATCTTTGCTCCATTGTATTGTCTTTATTCCTTTGTCAAAGATCAGTTGACTATATTTATGTGGCTCTACACTTGAGCTGTATTCCTTTCTACTGCTCTATCTGTCTATTCCTTTACCAATACCACACTGTCTTGATTATTGTAGCTTTATAGTAAGTCCTGAAGGTGCACAGTGTCAGTTTTCCAACTTTGTTCTTCTCCTTCAGTATGTTGGCTATTCTGGGTCTTGTGCCTCTCCATATAAACGGTAGAATCATTTTATTGATAGTCACAAGATAACATGCTAGGATTTTTTCTTAGGATTGTACTGAATCTATATTAAGTTGGAAAGAACTGACTTGTTAATGTCCAATCTACTTTTGAAATGTTCCCATTTCACTTGCACCATTTTAACTGATAAGTAAAATGCTGCAAGATCTAATTATCAATTTAAAACATTGGTATTAAAAACTTCATATGTGTATATTTAAAATCTAATACAAGGACCTGGGGGAAAATAATATATGAATATTGAACAGAACCCTATGCAGTTGCATTATGTAACAGCAGTCTTTCACTTAGTTCACATTATTTGTCATTTAGAGGAGGGGCCTACAAGTCAGGAGAACAAGTTTTCTGAGGATAAGTCTTCTTGATTGTGCTTTTTTCTTTAGGAAAAAGGGTTTATCTGCTTTATCCACCTGACAGATATTGTGAGACTACATTAATATCAGAGAAAGCTCTGTGAAAACGGATGAATGCCATTATAACTATAATCATCATCATTACTTTTTATAATAAATAAAATAAACACGGGGTCTTGCTCCGTTGCCCAGGCTGGTCTTGAACTCCTGGCCTCAAGCCATCCTCCCACTTCAGCCTCCCAAAGTGTTGGGATTATAGACATGAGCCATTGCATCTGGGTGTCATCAATGTTATTAATTATGTGATTGTCACTATTTCCCACTTCAGCAATTTTTATGTAATCAAAGAATATTTTTTATCTTAATATGAAATTTCATTGGGCTGTGAGAGTTTTGGGTATAAGCTAATGTTAAAATTACAAATAAATTAAGTATATGAAAATCTATGGAATGCATAAATACTAATATAAACACAGTGTACAGAAAATATTTGCAGCAATAGTTTATTTTCATTTTTACTTTTTATTATTATCCATACAGTTAGTCTATGTATTGATTATAATAAAAAATATGATTTGAATCCTATCTATGGTATTCTATTTCCGAAAACATTTGGGAAGCTGATTCAGAGTACATTAATTTTGAGATTATGGGGATCAGGAGCAGGAAGTGGGTTAGGTAAATTTTTCTTTTCTCTCCCTCAATTATTTGTTTTTGCAAGATGATGATGCCATTCTACATTTGAAAAAGGGCCAAAATCATGTGTTTAGTGTGTGTGTGACTGTGTATAAGACTTCAATGTTATGGAATAGAACTCAATATAATATATAATAAAAGTTTATATTACCATCTAAAATGTAAATATAGTTCAAAGATACCATGCACAAAATATAATGGGTTTGAATCTTGGAATTAAAATTGTGGTTGCAAAGGTTCTGGGTTAACTGATGTTACATTTTGCTGCCTTTTACTTATAATCAGCTAAAACCATTTTAAAAATGTCTGTAGTTCTATTTCCCAAGACAAACTTCTACCTACTAACAAAAATCACTTAAACATGATCAGCATTTTAGCTCTATAACTTTGAACAACATGATTTTCTGAATTCTTAACACTTCTCTTATAAGAGTCTTGAGAATGGTCATTTCCCAAGAATGGGAGCAGCCTGTGGGAAGCACAGCCTCAGTGCAAACGCTGTGGCTGCAATGCAAGCTAAGGCCAAATGTCGATGACCTTTAGCAGCAGTTATAAGAGATCTGTGGGGCATGTTTTAATGGCCAGCACAGTGGATGAGAGCTATTTTATGATTAGAGGAACTACGGGGGCCAGGAAAATGAAAGCATCACAAGAATACCAAAATACTTCAGCACTTGTTATGTTCCAGGTGTTTTGGATATTTATATACTTGGTATCTCTTTTAAATCTTACAGCAACCCTAAGAAGGTAATATTATCCTGATATTAAATAAGTTTTAATATATAAAAATGAGGTTTAGATGACTGACATTATTTTAATTTTGAGGAGATAGTCGAAAAGTTAATAGTAATATGTGAAACTAAATTGTTAAATGGATGCCTCAGTAGAGTTTTAGAAAATATGTTCAGTCTTGACAAAAATGGTGTGAAAATCAGGAATCATAAGGTAATCCTTCTGTATTCATTTTTCATTCTAAATAAGAGGTTTGTGTAGTGATAGGCCACAAAATTTACACTAACAAATTTTTTCTCTTATTGAGTCTTTCTGGGTTACCTGGAGATCTGAGGCAAGCTCATAAGACATGCTATGGGCCCCATACAGATAAAATAACCAGTCTGAAGAACTGGTTTTCTGCTTCACAGTAAATTTTCCACCATGAAAATGAGATTTCTTCTAGTGTCAGGAATAATGCACAACTAATGAAGATGAAGGGCTGTATTCTAGACCTGTGCTTCTTAAACTTTCTGATCCGAATACTTTTGTGGGTTATATTTGTGACTGTTTGCATATTAGACATCAAAACTTAGAAAATAATTAAATATTCTAAAACAGTTAACTTAAAATAATGGCACTAAACCCATTATATGCAAACATAGATAACATTTTTTATGAAAATAACTATCCCCCCCCAAAAAAGAAAAAGAATGACAGGAATGACATTGCTTAACATTTTTGCAAATCAATTTAATGTTTAAATTAATAGACAATAGTAAATTCTGATATCTGTGCCTTCATTTCATCTGCTGCCAGACATGATTGAAGTATATGAAGAATCTCTGGCCTTACACAGACATGTAGTTATCATTACGGATAATTGCAAGTATTCTTTGATACCACACCAAAACTCAGGAAGTGGTTGTTTTTTAAAGGTTACAATGTGAAACCTGAAATCATATCAATCAATGTTTCATATTTTGTTAAAATCCATTGGGATCTTATGAACTTTGAATGGACCCATACTTAAATTTATAACATCATATGTTGGTCTTTTGAAAAGTACTGGTTCACAGAGGTATTCAGATGTTCCAAATATCAAAACAAAATATTTGTTTTTATTAACATTTGTTAATATCACCATCAGTTTCATCAAAAAATGTTAAGTATTGGGAAGTTCAAATTTTATCACTAGCAGCAAATATTGTTGGTTTCTTTCTCTGACACTTCAATCACTTTCCATAAAATATCTGCTCAATATCCGTATCTGAATATCCATAATTTGTCAGTCATTCTTTCAAGTAAAAGGATACTCCATGAAAGACTAGCTAGTTTAGCTGTGATTCAGTTGCCCAAGTGCTTTTCCTCCAAAGAACCATCATACTTCAATACATAACAAAACTACTTTTTGTGTACTTCTAATTTCATTACATGGGATACTGAAAAGATGTATATTCAAGTTTCAAGATTTCATCAAATTGCAAATTTTTACTGCTTCACTGAAGACATTCTTAAGAGAAATCCTTTAATTAATTAGTTTAGTTATTTGGATAAGTAACTGTGGATATGTGGTGGGGAGAAATATTGTACAACGACTACTAGTACAGTTTGGTGCAAACAGCTAGGAGTTTTATCCACCATTGCTTTTTGTAACATCAGTGCAATTGTGAATACTGTGAAAAAGTAAGTAACGTCTTAGTATTATGATAACAATATTTCTGACTTTGTGTTCCCATCCCACATCCCAAAGGTGTCTTGGGTGACGAAAAGGTCCACAGACCACACTTTATAAACCTCTGTTCCAATAATACAGTTAAAAATTATTGAAACTGTCCTAGAGTATATTTGCTCAATGAGGTCAGTGATCTGACCTCTGGCACTTAAGAGCAGTTCCTAACAGCACATGATGTAAGTATAAAATATTATTTGGTGAATTAAAATAGAAACAACTGAATGTATGAGTTCTGGTCCCTCTCCCCATTCTTACCTCCTCCAACCAGGCTATGTGCTGAATGGCTCTGTGATTTATTTTTCTTTTCTATACAATGGAGATAATAACAGCACTTAACTTACAGGTTTGTTTTAAAGGTGACATGTGAGAATATATTAAATGTTTCACAGAAAGACCAACACATAGTAGTGGTATTCCATTATTGAAACATACATTAAGAATCCCCAGTTGTCTCAGTTATGGTTGGATTTCATTGCCTATTATAGTGTTTCTATCAAAAGAGCAGAGTATCATGCATGAATTAAGAGCTAGCTAGGAAAGCACTTGGAGGCTTGCATGATAGCTTCACAATATCTTCGGCTACTCAGGCTTCTATTTTTCTGCACTCATATCATACCATGTTATTTTCATCGTAGGGTCACATCCAGATGCTGGATGCATTCAAAGTTTATGCATTGAAGGCCAGAAAAAGGAAGAAAGGTAGGAAGGGTTTTCAAAAAGGCTGCACTGAACTGAGTCAGTTTCCTTTAATTAGCTTTCTCAGAAGTCGTATATGCCAGTTCTACATTTCATTGGCTACAGCTTGGCCACAGAGAAGGGAGGCAGAGAAGTTAGATTCTATTCTGTGTGTTACTGTAACTACCTAGAAATTAGGGTTTCTATATTAAGGAGAAATAAGAAAACTAATGGCCTCTGCTGAAACAGTAAAATAGGTGCTATGTAACATATAAAATGGATATATTCTATTGTGTAGAAGTGTGACTGATACAGATGCTTTTTGCTCCTGTATGGAGATAACAACTATTTGACCTAGCATTGAACTCAGCACCTTACCATCAGCCTTTATCCTCACTGAAGGGTAGAGACTGTGCGTCAGACTGTATCTAGTGTCTCTATGTTCTCCCCAGGATCAAGCAATGGAAATTTATATGTACAGAGCGTTGGATGTGATTCAGCTACACTGATGACTAACCATTTTAGGCTGAACTGAGAGCACTACAGCCTCTCTAAGTTTCCTGAATCTTATCCCAATTATATTTCATTTAATAACACTCAGTGAAATATCTGGTGGCAGGGGAAATGAAACTACATGCTTTTATGGGCTCATTCATCAAGAACTAATTGAAGCTTTCATGCAGTTTAGTGATGATAAAACAGTGTAACAATAAACAATAACAAAATTCACTGTAGAAGGATTTGTTTTGCCGTGAGGAAAATGGTTCCGTTTCATCTTGGGATTCCTGGTTAAAAGAGTCTCCAGTTTACAAAGGGATAAGCACAGGCTCCTCTGCATAATGACGGGGTGGAAGCTGTGTCAAATGTATTAGTGTTGCTCCACTGGAGCCATTCTTATCCTAAGTATTTGCTATTGTGTGGGACACTGGCAGGAGGCTGCAGGACCAATAGGATTTTTAAAAGTTTCTTTTTGCTATTTATTGTTATTGTGCTTGAAGCAGCTCCTCCATAGTTTTTATTAAGAAATATAGAAACATCTTTGTGTACCTTCACAAAGTTCAGATTCCTAAAAATTGCATTTTAAGAAGTTCTTTTTTGAATACTTCCACATAAGAAATTGTCTGGCTCTTTGTCATTGGAATCCTTGTTCCTTCACATGTGGTGTTCAGACATCTGGCTGAATTGAAAAGGAAGAAACAGAACGTACTTCTTCCTCATTTTTTTGGTAGTGATTTAAAAGAAATAGTAGGAAAATGAAATATATGAGAAATGTGCTGCAAACCACTGTAAACCCGAACAGCCATTTGCTTACACACCTTAAAATGTGTTGCTATATTTATATGACTTCCATGGCAGTAAGCACTATACTCTACATGCAGAATTTACTTGGTAACTGGTATGTCTTATATGTAATAACCACAGTTTTTATTGGTAAAACTTATTACCTAGACTCAACTCGACTCAAGGCAATAAGATTAGGCTGTCTACTATCACCATTTAAAAAATGTCCCAGTAGAATGTGTATATGAACACAGATTGCAGATAAATGATGCTCATATAATAAGGCTCATAGGATAAGATACCATTAATATTGATTTATGTGTTTTGAGAATTTATCTGCAAAAATAAGAAAGTTGTAATATAGATATGGTCAGTTATAAATTTAAAATGCAATTTTTTGTTCAAATTTACTTTCATTGTAAAAAGTAATTTCTCTTAAGAGCTTTTTAAAAATGGCACAGTCTTAATGCATGTTAAACAAATCACTACCAAGCCTAAATTATTCCATAGAATAAGAAGGATTTAAAGAAATTACAGTCACTCTTTTGGTTGGCTAAGAAGCCAAATTAATCCTTCATGTGTTTAGTTGCCAGTAACTTCAGTCAATTTGTAATCCCATTAATGAATGAGGGATAAGTTCATATCATATCTAAGAAGAATCAATATAATGCCTATGTTTTGAGATAAATTAATGATTGTAGATTGTACAGTTTCATATGGTAGACCATATGTGACTTTCCAGATAGATTTGTCAAATAGTAGAATTTTATAGCAAAGGGATCTGAAGATGGGAACAACAACAACTTAGCCTAAATTTAATCTGCCCCTTGTTGTAATGCTTCCACTGTAGTTCTCAAAAAACTAGGCAGCTTCTACCTCAGGACCTGCCCTCTACATATCATCCTTCTTCTCAGTATTTCCACAAGGCTTGTTCATTCATGTCTTTCAGGCCTTGATCAAATGCTGCATTCTAAATGATGACTTCCTGCCCATCTTATAGTGCATAGTGACCCACGAACTCATGCACCCTAATTGCTGTTTTATTTTTCTCTCTGAACATATATCATCATCTGACACCTTGTTTATTACCTATGTATCTATTTGCTGTCTACTAGCTAGAATTTAGGCTCCATGAGAGCAGGTGTTCTGCTGTTTTGTTCATTGGTGGATACCAGCACCTAGCCCGGAGCCTGACAAATAATAACAGCATTCGGTGACATATGTTAACTGAACGGTTTGGGGTTCTAGACCTCTCATGTCACATACAGTGTTTAGATAAGGGAAATCAGTTAGTCTACTTATTTCTGTTTCCTTATCTATAATATATGAAAAATAATGATTACTGTTACACTTCACTTATTAAATAAAACAATGTGTTTGAAAACTCTTTTCTAAAGGCAAATGATTGCAATCATAACATCAAATGGCTTTCAGACAGCCCTGAGGAGTTAATAGATTTTGCCTTTCTTGGCTTTTTTGGTTAAAAGGAGACGTAGAACTGAGGTAAAGTGTTGGCCTTAGTACACAAGTTAAAGCTACATTCAACTGGTCAAAAGAATGCCTATTACAAGTTGTTAGTAATGTAGCAATGAGATAATCTTGTGATGAATAGCAGGCAATGATTTATACAAACAGAACTAGAGGTGACACTTTGAAGAGAGTTGGAATTTGAGGGATAGAAATTTAGGTAGCATGAAGGTGGTAGGGTGCAAAAACTAACTGGACTACGTGAGAAATAAACCAGTGAGTGTGATCTCATTTATAGTATGTTAATAAGAAAAATGGTGCATTACAGTGGAAGGGTAGTGCAATAGTTAATTATGTATGTCAGCTTGGCTCTGTTATCCAGTTGTTTAGCCAAACACTAGTCTAGATGTTGCTATAAGGGTATTTTGTAGATGTAGTTTACATTTACTATGGTCAATTGACTTTAAGTAAAACAAACTACCCTCAATAATGTGGGTGGTGGGTCTTATCAACCAGTTGAAGGCCTTAAAAGCAAAATACTGAGGTCTTCTGGAGAAGTAATTCTGCCGAAAGAATGTAACATAGAAATCATGCCTGAGTTTTCCGTCTGCAGGCTTGCCCTGTGGATTTCAGATTTACCGTCTCCCACATCCACATGAGCCAATTTCTTAAAATTAAGCTTTCTCTCTCAGTATACATCTCATTGGTTTTTGTTTCTCTGGAGAATGATGGTTGATACAGCTAGGTATCTGTGGTTTACAATTCCTGATGTGGAGATTATTTTGAGGGTTAAATAAAACAGTGTGCTAATTTCATAGTAAAATGCTGGCACACCGTAGGTGCTCAAAGAGTGGTCATTCTCATGGTGGTGATGGTGGAGGTGATCTGTGATGTGTTTACCAATGGAGTCTGATCTTCATCTGATCTTCAGTTAGTCTATGATAGCAGCCACTGAGCACCTGAAATTTGTTGACTGACTTGACAAGTCAAATAAATAAAAGTGAGTTCCTTTAATAAGAAAATGTGGTCAGAAAATTAACTACAGCAATAAACAGGAAACACAGTGTTTGGAATGGATATAAATGCTTCACCAAGCAGGCTGGGTTCAAATTCCATCTTTGTTTCTTACCTACTACATGATCTTACCTGTAAAATCTGTAAAATTAGTATAATAATACTTTCTCCAAGGGACTTAGTGCAAGCTTTAGTAAAATAAATTATGTAAATGCCCAGGACTGAATGTGTCATTTTTTCTTCCTCATGTTCCTAAGGTACAATAGGCCAACATCAAGTTTTCCAATTTTTGAAATTTAGACTTTAGACCTTGTATGTCAAATGAGAAATCATTTTCAAGTTCCTTAATTGGAGTCAGAAACTTTTTTTTTTTCATTTTTCCCTCAAGATAAAACAAGCTTTATAGAGAGAAAAGAATGTGGGTAAAGCAGGAACAGCTTTTACAGTAGTCTCACATGGACTAAGGCTTTGTTGAGAAGAAAAAGTGGTTTCCTTATTGGATAGGACTGTGCAGAGTCCAAGCCTCTCGCCCCTACAGGCAGGTGTATCAGAGAGTGGGGATGAAGTGCAACCCAATACCAAGGATCCTCAGAAATTCCTTTTCTGGGCAGCTTTTAGTGTCTCGTTCCAGTATATTCAAGAGCAGTAGCATGGCCCAGAGGTGTATAATGTCATTTCAAAGCCAACTATGTGATGCTGGTAACAAAACTAAGTGCTTACAGAGCAAAGAGAAGCTGAAGTCATCAGTGTTATAAAATACAGTATGTATTTTATTGTGTCCATAAGTTGTGCATTTTATTATCAGTAGTGCTTACAAATGAAGATTTGTTCATTCTCTGGGGTATCATTTAATTTGAAATAAATAAAGCAACAGAGTGCCGTTCTAATGTCATCTTTTGCAAACATTACAAGGGTAATGGAGAGGAGAAAGGAGCTTCTTGTTAAGAAGGAAGTAACAAGGGAATCTGATTATATTATTTCTTGAGAAATTAACAAGATGTATTAGATGATACTTTAAAAAGCAATTTTGGTACCATGGTTTGAAAGAGATATATTTCATCTAAATTATTAAGAAGATAAATGAGTGAATTTATTCCATTTCACTAAAAAGCAATTTTTTATATATATATTTTAAAGCAAAGTGCATGCTTCCAGGTGTGCTGAAAAACTATATTGGGGCAAAGGCTCTGTTAGCACTACTCCAACAGGATGTGCCTGGGGATGGGTCAGAAAGGCAGATAAGTTTAGGACAAGTCAGGTAGGCAGAAGCACAAATTCAGGCAGGAAATGTTCTGCCAGAGCATGTGGGTTCAGATGCCCAGGGCTGAAGCAGTGTGCATTGTGCATGAGCCAAGAGCATGCTCATTAAGACAAGGTCAGGACTGAAGAGAAAGGTGGAAGGTGAGGCAGCAACCAGGCTGTGTTTGATGGTACTGTAAAGAAGGGCTTCTGGAGGATTGAGGTAGCTGTGAGGCCAAAAGGTGAACCCTTTTTTTTTTCTTTCTAGGTCATTAATAAGCTTTACTTGATTTTAATTATAAATATTACTAACATTCGGAAACATTTAGATAGTATAAAAACTAAAAAAGAACACAAAGTGAAATCTTGAATTCCATATATTTGGCAAATATGATTCCAATTTTTTTTTGTTTGTCTTCCTGTATATAGCACATATATTTTTAAAATTTTAAATTGGGTCACACTGATACACAACTTGTTTTTAAGAATTTCATTTTATTTCAATGAATATAAATCCACCCTGCCATTTTCATTATGTGTATTACTACTCATTGGGTGAATATATCAAATGAATTTTATCCACCTTTTGTAGATGAGCATTTAGGCTTTTTATGTTTTTTCTTATGTAAACACTGTCATAATAAACATTCTTTAAAATTGCTATTTCTTTCCCAATTACTCCAAATGTAAATAAATTTTTTTTATTTTATTTTAAAAGCAATATAACCATATGATAGAGAGTTTGGAAAACAGAAAAAGTAAATAAAATGTTTATGCTTCTCCCATCATAACATATCATCATTTTGCCTCACTTCCTTAAGGTGTTTTTTTGTCCCTATTTTTATTACTTTCACTTATCAATTTATATGCTATTCAACTCAAAAATTGTGGTAGTTTAGCTCAAAGGCTAAACTGTGTAGTTGTTTTTAGTTTTTGAGGTGCCAACATGCATCCAGACAGAGTGTAGGGACAGGAAAGGAGGTTGTGATAATCAGAGCATCTTCAGTCCAGGAGAGATGGTGGATATATAGAATGTATAAACACATCAATCTGAAAATAAAATTACATGCAATGTATCAACTGGCTCACTGTTAATAATTTGGTGTTGTTTCTTTCAACATAGACTATAGTAAATACATCACAAATGGAATGGAAAGCAAATGACAAACAGGGAAAATATTTGCAGCATGTAGAATAGACAAAGGATTTCATATGTTTCTCAAAATGTGACTACATGGCTTTAAATGTCTTCATAGAAATGTGTGTGTGTGAGTGTAAAATACAAATACATAGAAATTATATATTATGTCTCTGTATATAAAATTTTATGTAATGTATTTGGCCAATTTCTCGTTGGTGGAAAGTTAGCTCAAATTTTTGTTAATATAATTTCAATTAACATTCTTGTATGTAAATCCTAGAAGACCTCTGTGATTATTTCTTAAAAAAAAATTCATGGTAGAGAAATTACTGCATCAAGAGAAATGAATATTTTGAAGGCACTTGATATGTCTTGTTAGATAAGACTCGGAGATTTTAAAAAATAGGTATTAACATATTTAATACATGGTCTTTGTATTACATGTATATAAAATGTTGGTAGTTAATTGCTTGGCCATTGGACCTCTTCCGATTGTAACTGCCCGCCTCCGAAGTAAGCAATGTCGGTAGGCTGCTGTGCCTTCTTCTTTACCCATGCAAACATATGCAAACCTGAACATGGAGAGTGTGCTTCTTTATTTCTACCACCAAAATAGAACCATATTAATGACAATAATCTGTGATTTACGCATTTTCCTTGTAAAATATCATCACCATCCTATAAATCAGCCGAAGATTTTTTTTTGGTAATTTTGAAATGCTTATTATACTCATATATATTTATAATTTTGTATAAATATGATCACACCCTATGTAGTGTTTCTTTTTTAGTGCAGTTATTGTTAGCTTTTCCAGCCCTCCTTCTCTTCTTCCAGTTTTCCCATCTTTCCATACCTACCTCAGGAACAGACAACATAGTACAGAGCCAGATATATATATATATATATACATATATACACACACACATACACTTATATATATGTATGTAAGTGCATACACGATACACACTTATATATACATGTACTTATATATAAATACACACACAAATACTTACACAAACACACACATGCACACTCATCCATAAATATATCTGTATTATGAAGAGCTGTTTATCTAATTTTATACTGATTCATCTATATTTTTAACAGAATAATTAATATGCTATATTCTTAATAGTATCTTGCTTTTCTGACTCAAATACACCTTGCAGAAATTTGACAGCATTCCAAGTCAAAGGTTACAGTGTTAATTCGCTCTATTATAATGGATATGTAGTAGTTTATCTTGATGTACAATAATTTTTTCACATTTAACTACGGAGAGATCTTATACATTTCAATTGTTGCAAATTTGGTCATCAAATTTTAAAATCTCACTTTGTTTTACTTTTATTTACTCGCTGTGTGTCTGATCATTTTTCATACAATTTTGACCATTTCTATGACTGAGAATTCCTCTCATCTAACACTTTTTTGCTATTGAAGCATTAACCTTTCTATTAATTATTAATGCTTTCTATATACTAAAATACTGACCCTTTGCTTGCTGTATGTGTACCAAATATTTCCTTCAATTTTCTTTTTTTTAAAAATTACCTTTTGGAGATTGTAGTTTTGAAGGACAGATTTTAATTATTCTGTATTTAAATTTATCAGAGTTTCCTTAAGTGTTTATCTGATATTCACATATAATTTATGTGTTAAGATGAATTGTCATTCTTAATGTGTCAGTTCAAGAAATTCTCAGTATATAAAAACACCATATATGTGATATTTATTTTATTTGATAATATACTCTTCATAGCTGCAATTTTTGTTATAAATCTACATGTTAAATCAAATTTATATGTATTTATTGTTAATTTTACATTTTCCTTTATATATTTTTATACATTTATTATTAAATAGACAAAGGAATCTAATATTTTCATTTATTTGTGGCAAATGGGAATTATTTTTATATTACATTTTATAATTGACATTGACTAGTATGTAAGAAAACTGTTCTTTCAAATTTTAGTTTCTTGATCATGATGCAGAGCTCTAATCCCTTAATGGTATTTTTTCCTAGCTTTTTTAGTTATACAAGAATATTATTGGCTAACGATGATAATTTTGCTTTCTCCTTTCCAATAATGATATTTAGGTTTTTTTGTTGTTACTTTTCTATTCATGTTAAGTTGCTTTGGATAGCTTTGTGTTAAAATAATATGAAAAAGACTTTTTTTCTTACTCCTGCCTATAGTAAATTCAATAGTGTTTATTCTTATTGTTTTATAAATAACATTTAAATTGTTTATTTAAAATTTTAGAATGGATCTTAAATTTTAGCCAATATACTTTAGAGTTCTTTTGAGGTAATCATATAATTTTATTCTCTGAGCTATTGAAAAATGAATAGTCCCTGAATTATAAAATGAATTTTAAAAATTCATGTTGTATATTTTAATAATTTTAATATATGATTAAATATTTTGTTATTATCTTATATAGAAACTGTGCATCAATAATTTAAAAATAAATTTTCCACATCATTTTAAAAGTTATTTTTGTAAGTCTTTGATATTAAAAGCATGAAACTTCATAAGTAACTAGAAATCACTTGAGGTCAGGAGTTCGAGACTAGCCTGGCCAACATGGTGAAACCCTGTCTTACTAAAAATACAAAAATTAGCCAGGCATTGTGGCCTGTGCTTGTAATCCCAGCTACTCAGGAGGCTGAGGCTTGAACCTGGGAGGTGAAGGTTGCAGTGAGCAGAGATCGTGCCACTGCACTCCAGCCTGGGTGACAGAACAGGAACCTGTCTCAAAAAATAAAAATAAAAAACTGGGCATGGTGGTGTGTGCCTGTAGGCCACTGCACTCCAGTCTGAGACTCCATCTCAAAAAAAAAATATATATATATATATATGTATATATAATATATATGAAGAATTATAATAATATTTGCCAAAACATTTATGAGAAAATATTGCTTGATAACTTTCTTAATTTCTTTCATAGTTATTGGCTTATTTAGTGGTTCTTGAGTCAGCCTTAATGATTCATAGTTTCTAAGAAAATAATTCATTTCAAACAGTCTTGCCAATTTATTAGCATATTTTACCTGTCTAAATGGGAGAAATGTGTTTATGTTGTTATTTTTATATTTGTTTTTGCTTTTGGTTTTTCTCTCAGTCACGATTTCTGGTAGAAGAGGGAATTGCAAGACATCTATAAAGGTTTGGATGTGGTTGTCATCTTCAGTTCTTATCCAACAAAGTAATTATACTATTTACTTCCTCCACACTCAGTAACTAAAAGTGATTAGCATTTTCAGTTTTAGACCACGTTATCTTATATTTTGATATTAGTAACAGTAAATATTATTCCGGTATTTAAGACAGGCTAAGACAGAGTAGATATTATAATAGCTCAGTTATGTTGTAATTTGGATTTCTAAATTTTTATTAATCCTTTCTATTAAAAAAACTGAAAAGGAGGAGGAAATTATCTGCTTTTCTAATACCCTTTTCTTGAACTATGAAACTACAGCCAGTTTTTGCTATCTGGCAAAACTGGATATATCCAGCCACATTTCAACATTCTCTTTAAAACTGAAGCTACAAGCATATTTTTGGAAAGAATGTTACATGAAAGCATTGTTGCACAATTAGAAGACCCCATACTTATAAATAGCTTCACATTTGTTATGCAGCTTTACATTTGTTGCATTGTTAAATACAAAATATTTGAGCATATTTTCCATTTTATTCTCTTCTTCAGAAATTAAATTCTGCATTTGTTAGATTTAATTGCATACCCACCTTCTTGGCTGATAATTGACAATTTATATTTGCCTACAGTTTTCTCAAGCTTATTATTCATATCTTAGATTCAGTTTTCAGCATTGTTGACTCTTTATTTGGTTGTTTTTAACAATATTTAAAATTTTATTATGACATAATTTCTCTCCTTAAAATATTTCCTTAGCTTGTCCCACATTGTCTTCATTGTCTATCTTCTTGTCTTATCTTCTTTTATATTTTTAAAATATAGTGTTCATATTTTCTTTATTTCTTTTGGCAGTACCCAGTGCTTATCATCTAAAATTTTATATTCCTGGATATGTTCTTCATCAATATATGCTACACTATATTTATTTTCTTTTCTCTGTTGTAGATATTTTTTGCCTAAATAGCTTATAGGATTTTGTTTCTTTGTTTACTTATCTTTAAATGGGCCATCAGAATGAAGAACTGCTGCAATCTGAAAAGTAGGCCAAAGGAATTTCATTTCTTTCTGCAATTTCTATTTTTCAATCCTTAAACATTGACTTAGAGTGCTGTAAAGAACTGGGTGGTGCAGGTGTGTGATATCTAATAGAAACCCTCCGCTTTATGCCATTATGTAATATTTTACAAAAACATGACCTTGAGTTTTTAGTTTATCTACATGCATCTTGCTTTGCAATAACAGCCCATAATATAGGGATTAAATTTAAGCTGCTATCTCTACTTCCTTATCCACAATTCATTATCTAATCACATCTCCTGCCCCCATTTTGATTTCCGTCTCTACCATGCACTGTAACAGCTCTTATTTCTCCCACCAATTACAGCCATGGCCCATTAGCCAAAATGAATGGACAATTATTGCCTCCTTTTGTCTTTAAACAAGCAGCAAGATTTGACCACTCCTTTCTTTTTGAAACCAGCTCCTCACTTAACTTCCTACTCCTACTTCTTCTATCTCTTAATGGATCTCTTTTCTTAGGCCTCTACATAATGAAATACATTTAGGATTGGTCTGGAGACTTTTTCTCTTCTCTGTCACTGCTAACTTTCCAAATGATCTTCCTTTAGTTTTAGATACACTATATATATATATACTCTTGACTCCAAAATTTATACTTTAAGCTCTGTCTTCTCCTCTAAGTTCCAGGGTTTTATATCCAAACTGCCCACCTCATATCTCTTCCTAAATGTATCATAAACATCTCAAACATAGTACATCCAAAAGAAAGTATTGTATTATGTTGCCTATTTTATCTTCCTCCCTCAGACTCTCAATATCAGGAGTTTCATTGTTTCTCAGAAAACAGTCATCCACCCGGTTTTCCAACTAGAACCTGAGGAGCCTTATCCCTATTATTTCTCCAGTCTACACTCAGCAGCCAGAATAATTTGTTAAGAACATAGATCATGTCACTTCAACTGTCCTGCCCAATTCTTTCAATACTTCCAACTTTTATTATAATGATGCTGGAACTGCTTATTTCACTGTATTTAGTTCATGCGACTTCATTTATTCTTCTGCCTCCGTCTCCAAACTCATCTTGACCCTTTCCACTACTTCATCCATATACTTTGACCACACTATTTTGTTTTCTTTCTTTCCCTCTTCTTTCTTTTGTTCTTTCTTGTTTAAAGAAATTATATCAAGCTCCTTCCTTTCCTTCCCTTGGCTCTTACTTTGGCTGCTACCAATGCAGACATGGAATTCCCTCATCTCTTTGAAAGGCACGTTTATTATCATCCTTTAGTTATCAGCTTAAATGTCATGCACTCAGAGAGATCTTTATGATCACTGCATCTAAGGCAGTTGCCCCATCTGACATATTTTCTTATGGCTTATCTATAGTCATCACCTTTTTTTAATGTTCTTGAGAACAAGGACCTCATTTGTCTAATTCACAGTAATAAACCCAGCTCTTGGCCTGGCATATGCAAGTCTAGATAATAACGGTAGAGACCTTAAGCACTGATAAAAGGGTAAAGCCCTCCTCCACCAAATATTAGGTTTAAAACATATGAAACTGCAAAATAGTTTAAGTATGACAAAAATCTGATTTTTCTTATGATAGCTGTTTTGAGTGAATAATATAGTAAATATTATAATTTTTCTCTTATTTTTGGCAATTGTATTTTGATGGCAGTTTGAAGATGTACTTAGGTTTCCTTTTAGATTTTCTTCTGTCACTTAACAAGTAGATATTTATTAATATGTTAAGAAGGAGTAAATGAACATTGTAGATTTGTTTGTGACATAAATATTTCTAGTGTTTCCTGATGACTTTGGAAAAGAAAACTGCTTAATTCTTATACTCAGGAATGCCTTTTCAGTGTGTGGAATTTTCAAAACATCCTACCGGATGTTTTTTATTTATATAGAAAGGGAAGAGCCTTATGATCAACTGAAAATTGTAAGCACAACAACTGACTTTATTTTTTTTTGAGATGGAGTTTTGTTCTTGTTGCCCAGGCTGGATGGAGTGCAGTGGCGTGATCTCGGCTCACTGCAACTTCTGCCTCCCAGGTTTAAGCGATTCTCCTGCCTCAACCTCCCGACTAGCTGAGATTACAGGCATGCGCCACCACGCCCGGCTAATTTTGTATTTTTTAGTAGAGACAGGGTTTCTCCATGTTGGCCAGGCTGGTCTCCAACTCCTGACCTCAGGTGATCCGCCTGCCTCGGCCTCCCAAAGTGCTGGGATTACAGGCGTGAGCCACCACGCCCGGTGAGCACAACTTTGTTCCAGTCAACGATGGCGTAGAATACTGACAAACTCATAAAGGTCAGAAAGATCCTGGTGAAGGCAGATGTGACCTTTGCTCTCACTGTTGGAACTGTTAACTTTTTTTGGAAGTTCTAAGGAAGTAATTGAAGAAGGAGTATATTCATAAGAGGAGAGGATGACCCTTGATTTAAGGCAGTGAAGGATAGGATTTCCATTACTTTCTTTTTTTTTTTTTTTTTCCAAAATAGGTTCTCACTCTAGAGTGTAGTGGCACAGTGATAGTTCAGAGCAGCCTCAAACTCCTGGGCTCAATGATCCTCCGACTTCAGCCATCCAAGTACCTGGGACTATAAGCTTGTGCCTTGCTGCTAATTATTATTATTTTCTAAACTTTTGTAGTGACCTGGCCTCACCATGTTTCCCAGACTGGTATCGAACTCCTGGGCTCAAGCAGTCCTCCCACCTTGGCCTCCCAGAGTGCTGGGATTACAGGCCTGAGCCACCATGCCCAGCTGGATTTCCATTACTTTAAGAAACTGTGCTATTACTCTAACAGAAGTGTTTTACCTTTATATTTCAATAAAATATGACTAATTAAGCAGTCTTCCAAAATGTACTACCTAGCTGCTACTTAGTAATCTCCAAAAACTGGGTAATAAATAGCACTGTTAGATAATATCTTACCATTGATTTTCAAGAGGAGCTCAATGTCTTTTATCTCAAGGATGATTTTAATTTCAAGATTCTTCTTATCCTTCACATTGTCCCTAGTCACTTACCATCTGTCCTGAATGTTCGCAAGGGTATTAATTTTGCTTTTAGCCTCCCTTTATTATTCCAATTCCTAAACCAATAGATGATTCAGGGAAATATATTGTTATTTTCAGGTTCAGTATCTGGGCTAGTTTTTTGACCAATTGAGATGTTCCATGATAGCATGGTTTTATTAAAATTACATTGCAAATCTATCATAGGAGCTGCCTTCAACAGGTTGATACATATAAGAAAGTGGTAAAGAGTACAGGCATGAAGCAAGTATAGCATGTCTTTTGCCTTCACATTGTTTATACCTTTTATGGATTTGATGTGGAGAAAGATTCATCTTGCTACATTACAAGTCATCTCTGACATAGAAGACAAAGTCAGTAAAGTGCTTCAATCTCATAGATTTCTCATGATGGTGTTTTGACACTGGAACAGCATTACAGGAAAGAAAGAAATTATTAAGGTGAAACAAGCCCCAGAATGAAGAATTGTAAATGTATAATCACACATGAAATACAACATAGGTATATTTTATTGTACTTTTTGGGCAATTTCTGTGAGTGTCTGGCTGAGGACATATTGTAAATCTGCCCCTGCTTAGCCAGCTTCCCTGGAGGACTTGTTCAGGGGTCAGAATCAAGACTAAAACAGAGGTGGTTGTTTCTTTTTACAGCACCAATGCAGGTGTGCTTTGACTTATTAAATCTAATATGCTACTGCTAATATTCACATTTATGGAACAAATAAACACAGTGGTTGGTTATTTGCATAACAAAATAATACGTGATTTTGAACAAGGTTTTTTTATACATTAAGCCTTTCTACCAAGTTCACAAAAAATGGGAATCAATTTATAAAATGTTAATTTTTCAACCTTTCAGGATCATAACTATTATGTTTTCTATGAGGTATACTTGCCTTTGGAACTAATATTTTCAATGCTTGGTACTTTTCCTAAAGAAAAATGCAATTAGTGAGAACAGATTACTTGACTATAGTTCAGATGCCTGTCATGTTTGTAGGGAATAAAGGCTTAACCACAATCCACAGCTTTCCTAGACGCAAGCAGAATTTCCTCTTTGCTGAAGTAATGTGATTAGATATTCTAGTTTTTGTATGCCTTCATACATTACCCTCGTCTGCACCAACTGTAAGCAGTTGAGAGTAGAAATGACAGGTAAGCCAGAATATAATTAATTACGGTAATCCTAGCAAGAACTAACGGAAGTACATCTGAGGGTTTCTGTGTCCCTTGGAGACTCAGTAAGATATATCCTAGAAAGGCTCCTAGGATGATAATAAGATGACTTTGCAATCTGATTAATATGGACATCAAAAACAAAGTTCAGAATCCAAAATCAGTTCAGTATTATGAGCCCTGAGACATTGAGAAGGATATACTAGACGTCACAGGCAAGAACTAAAAAGAAATATAAAGATTGATGTTGAGGAGATCCTATGAGTAATAATTTAGTCTTGTCCACATTTAGCTTTAAAAAGTTGGATGACATCCAAGCCTGAATGTCACAGAGACTGTTATGCATTGTGCAGAAAGCCATCATAAGGCCTATGGGGACTTGAAACAGACCGAAGTGTCATCTGTGCTTATTTGACACAGAAATGTATTGGTTCTAAAGCCAACATTCATAAATAAATAACCAAATACAAACATGAAATTATATACTTGTATTTCATATATAAATAAACAAAGAGACATGTCAGACTTACTATTCTTTTTGTAATTATTCTCATGTTCATGAGGGTATATGAGATGTTTTACATAAATAGAAATATACAGTATTATTTAAAGGACACAGTCCTACCCTCAAAAAACTTATATTCCAATACAGGTTACAATGTGAATGGTTTCCAATTACTGTTTACTGTTAAATTGTCCCATTTTTCTGCATTTTTATTTTTCAGATTATCCCATGATTTTTTTTCCCTGTTTTTCCATCCTTGGTACATTTTGAGAAAATCAGGTTAAGAAAAGTGACATTTATAGAAAAATGGAGGCTATAATATTTAGGATTATAGACAGCTATAATCTATGGACTGCAACATTCTGATGCTTAAATGAACCATTAATTCCAACAGGCAAAAAACTTTCTCATATAAAAATTACAGTGCATTAAAAATGTTCAATAATGCAGTTTAGTTTTCCATAACTACAGTAAAGAATTAAATCTAGAAATAACCTTGAGATAGAACACTGAACTTGTAATGACTGGTTTGTGTTTGCACAGGAAGTTGTCTGTTGGAGAGTAAGGGCTGCGCCCGTAGGAGCACAGGCCAGAAGCATGCATTGGAATGCCACATTCCAGTCTTCCAGATGTTGGCTACTAATTAATTGATTTGGGTGTGGAATGGATTACAATAAGGTGGCCTGAATCACTTAGAGTCTGCCAAACATTTCCTCTTTTATTTTTAGTTTTTCCTGGAAGCTTTATTTCAATGACCAGATTTTATCCAGTCTTCCCCACATGCCCTAACTAAAAGTATTCTCAGAGAACAGTGAACTTTATTATCCTCAGTCTAGGCTAAATTCAAAATAGAACAGTACTTACTGATCCATTTTTCTAAGATTTTACTTAGAAATCTCCTAATCCAAGGTTATCTTTAGTTCTACCAAATATTTAATAGCAAAAGTAATGGTATTTCTTTATATTGATCCTGGTAGTATGTATATATGAATGTTAAACAGCCAACACATTTAACATTTTGACAATGATGACAATTGGATAAAAATTTTCCTGCTTTTTAAAGTTCATGTTTCATTGAAATTCTGAGAACTTTTAAGTAGCCTAATGAAATATATTATTTTAATACCTCAGTAAGAATCCTTTTGTAATCTTAGATATTTTCTGCAAGTTATAAGTTATACATTTATATTTGTAAGATCTTGTTCAACTTGATTCATGATCATGTGGCTTATACATATTAAAAAGCAGAGTCCTACTGATTTCATTTATATTTTAAATTAGAGGTTTCATTTTATTTATGTATTTTTATGAAAATACCTACATGGTACTAGTTTAACTTAAGTAAGTGGGTAATAAGTTGGCCAGTACAACAACTTGTTTAGTAAAATGTCAGTCCTTTATGATTTAGATACATTTGTTTGCAAGATGTAATCACAGAAAGGGTCACCAAACCTGTTCCTTTCACTATAATTGAATTTCCAATTCATCGAAGGAGTACTGATTTAATGTCTAAATAAATACTCTAACTTTGGGTAGCAAACTACTCATTGTGACAGCAAGTAGTTTCTTGTTCTGTTCAGAATGTGTCAAAATTTATGTGCAATGACATGCACCAAGAAGAAAAAAAAATAGAAGAACATATTCGAGGTGAATGGAGCATACAGTATATGATGTGATCTCAAAGTTTTGAATCATGAGTCCAACATTTAAACAAAAAAAACTAACTACAGTGTTTCATATCTATACCACACCTTTTAGCTTCAAAATTTCAGCAGCTCTGATGATGCTGTCATAAAAATTGTGCCTATTTTAAAAATCTATTAAGGAATATCAGATGCTTGCTATTTGGTCTAAGAAAGGCCCAGGGTTTTTAATGCTAAATGTAAATTAATCCTTAAGCAAAGGATTATATTTAAGCTTCTTGTTAATCATATTAATAATGTTAATCATGGTTAATTGTGGCTATTCCCTCAATTCATATGTAATAATAACAATCAAATTATGCCTAAAATTTGCTAAAGATTTTTCAAAAAATTATAAAATACATTCATATTTTATCTTATATTTTACTGTTGTAATAAATAAAGAAAATGTAGTACATACACCCCATGGAATACTATGCAGCCAGGAAAAAGAGTAAGATCATGTCCTTTGCAGGGACATGGATGGAGCCGGAGGCCGTTATTCTTAGCAAACTAACACAGGAACAGAAAACCCAATACTGCATGTTCTCACTTGTAAGTGGAAGCTAAATGATGAAAACACATGGACACAGAGAGGGGAACAAAACATACTGGGGCCTTTCAGAGGGTGAAGGGTGGGAGGAGGGAGAGGATCAGGAAAAACAACTAATGGGTACTAGGCTTAATACCTGGGCGATGAAATAGTCTGTACAACAAACCCCCATGACACAAGTTTACCTATGTAACAAACCTGCACTTGCATCCCTGAATGTAAAATAAAGTAAGAAAAAATAAATTATTTAAAAAAAATAAAGAAAAATTGGCTTTAGGCCAAAATAAGGTATGTTAAGGTAATTGAAATAGAAATGCACATTACAATTGGTTATGTAGCCAAGTGGTTCTTTACTTTCATTACATATACCCATTATTTATGTTTCTTGAAGAATTTGTTTTAAATGCTCTGTGCCAGGCGTGGTGGCTCACGCCTGTAATCCCAGCACTTTGGGAGGTGGGTGGACTGCCTAAGGTCAGGAGTTTGAGACTAGCCTGACCAACAAGGTAAAACCCCATCTCTACTAAAAGTACAAAAACTAGTCTGTCGTGGTGGCGGGCGCCTGTAACCCAGCTACTCGGGATGCTGAGGCAGGAGAATCACTTGAATCCAGGAGGCGGAGGGTGCAGATCACACCATTACACTCCAGCCTGGGCAACAAGAGTGAAGCTCCATCATAAAATAAAGTAAAATAAAATAAAATAAAATAAAATAAAATAAAATAAAATAAAAGCTCCGTTATTCCTTTTGCAAAAATGATGCTTTTGGGGCTAAATATTTGACACATGAGGAGAATGACCTCCTATGTGTCATGTTACACTACCATTTATCTGAAACAGTTCTACCTTGCCATTAACACATTTTTTCTTTTGTTCTAAGAATTAGCATATAATTGTATTTACAAGATTAAATTTATTTTGTTAAATATAAGATACAGTTATACTCATGATTTTTAATCACATTTTTCAAAGCAAAGTTCAAATTAGTCCTTTACTTCTCAACTATTTAAAACAAAAATGTGGTTCTTTTAAATGTGGTGTGCATGTGTGTGTGTATGTGTGTGTGTGTTTTGAGACAGGGTTTCACTGTGTTGTCTAGGCTGGAGTACAGTGGTGTGATCATAGCTCACTGTAGCCTCAGCCTCCTAGGCTCAAGGGGTCCACCTAATTCAGCCTCCTGAACAGTTGGGTCTACAGGGGCGTGCCACCATGCCAGGCTAATATTTTGTTTTCTTTTTTTGTAGAGACAGGGTTTTGCCATGTTGGCCAGGCTGGTTCTGAACTTCCGGGCTCAAGCAATCCTCTTGCCTTGGCCTCCCAAAGTGCTGGGATTACAGGCGTAAGCCACTACACCCAGGCCAGTTTTTTCTCAATGACTTTATTCTGCACTAATTGTTCTCTGGTTAAAAGCATTCCAGGTATTTTTGTATTCTAAGAACCATCTACTTAGAATGGGGAAAGAAAGAAAGGCAATTAACATAGATAGAACTTCAACTGTGGGAGAGGATATTTACTTTTCTTTTGTTAATTTATTGTCACAACAGACCTCTGTATTAAGCATTATTCTCATCATTTTACATTTCTGGAAAATGAAGCTGAGAGACAATAAATAATTTATCTGAGGTCACACATTTAGCCAGCAATGAAGCTGGAATCTGAGCCTCGGTCTATCAGATTCCTAAATTTTTGCCAACCTTCAGCTGTTTGGGGAAGAATCTGCAGGAGCACCTGCCTTGGCCCCAGGACTCAGAAACATACAGATTCTATTATTACGATTCAGAGTCCAGTAAAAGTTAGCAATCTGATAATATTAGGAATATTATTCTTGATCACTATCCATAGGATGAGTAGAACAGAGAAAGATAATCCTCATATCATTCTGTAATATATTAATTACCTTAGTAATTTTAATAATGGAATAAGAATCATTTGTATTACATGAATCTTGTTTTAATTTTGCAAAATAAAAGACTAACACATTATGTTAATTTTATTTGAAAGTTTCATTTGAATTTGAACTTTCCCCTGCTTAATAAGGAAGTATTCAGTGTTCTGGAACAAGTAAAATTTGTGCTGGTGAGGGGGTCACCTAAGTTATTATATTATTTGAGAAAATGACGTTTCAGAATTGGTGTAATCAGATTTCAGAAATCTCTTCCCATACACCCACCTATCTTTTCTTTCGCTATCAAATTTCATTTGCTTTCGTGTATCCCTTTCTTTTCTCCTGTTTGTATATTTTCCTCTAAGTCCCCTGTATTGCATTTAAGTGTTACTTTATTTATTGTGAGCCTAATGCATTGAATGATTTCAGAGAATGATGTGTGCTCTGGCATATTATCTTGTTGAACTATTCAATTAAATATGATAATGTTGAGCACACTGACACTGTTAAACACTCAGGTGAATGAGCAATTCACCGTGAAGTGCAGAAATATTTTAAGTCATCGGCATGACTGTAAGCAATATTTATTTATTTTTATATATGTACTTCAGGCTTCTAATGAATGATAGATATTTTAAAAAACTAAGAAATTCGAATATATGGAACATGAAAACTATATCAGAGAAATTATTGTTTTGAATTGTTCCTTGACCTGTACAAGAAGAAAAATATAAATTGCATATGAAAACCTTTTGTCCAACATTTATAAACGTGGTTCAAGTTTAAACTGCTTGTACCTACTCATTTCTATCAAGTGCATTCCCATAGCTCCCAGCCCTTCTTAAAAATGCATCATGCAGAGGCATTTTCCTCCAGTACAATATGTAATTAGTATTGTTCCATTATATTTTGTATCATTTATAATAAAATTTCTTTTTCTGCAAGTTGGATAGTTAAAAGTCCCTTGGGCTGATTAGTGAAATTTTAGCTGTCAAAGCAACACTTTAGAACATCCGGGGGCAAAAAAATATAGGAGTCATGTAAGTAGCAACTGAAGAAAAATAATCCTTTAAGATTGTGGTGAAAATTCAAATTAAGTGGCAGTAGTTTCATTTTGATGTCTTCATTTCTGAGAGATAGTTTTACTGAGATCTTTTGTTCTGTTGGAAATGCCCTGTTTCTATTAGTGAAGTGCTAGAACTCTTGATTACTTTTGACTATGATTTAGATAGAAATGAAAGAAAATAAGACAGTTGTTTAGGAAATCACAATGGTCTAAAAGCCTATTCTAACTTACAAATCTTCAAATAAACTGATTATAAACTAGATAATAAAAATGTATACTGTGCTTTTAAGTATATAGATTTTTATATTTATGTACATGGTAGATATATATATATAAATGTTGGAATTTTGGTCAAACTCTTCCCTAGCTGGAACTCAGACCAGATATCTAACTTAGAAAGATGGAAAATATTTATTAGACCTCCATGGGATAAAAGTGTGCTCAGCTCTTAAGTATCAACAAAACAGTGAAACTCATAAAACCTTGTATGTTTCTATTTTTAGCTTTTTACTTCTTGTTCTTTATACTAAAACTGTAAAAAAAAAAAGTAAAATACTTACCATAGGGCATTACAAATAATAATCCACAGTATACGTATCCTTCTTTTTCCTCCTTTTTCTCCTCTGCCACCTTTTATTGATTGTTATTATCATTATCATCATCAATATTTGGGTACCAATTATGTTAAAATGGGCATGGTAGGTAAAATAAAAATTTACTTGTTAATTCTGTGACTCATAAAAGCCTCCCACTGTCATTCTTATTTTTAAAATATTGCTTTTTGTTATAGTGAGTAGTCATTGGAACCCACATCATTACCTGCTCTTCTTAGATCTTACACCCTTTTGCCTATAAAGCCATGTTTTCTTATTTGCTTTTATTTGCTTTGTTATTTTTAATAGCTTCAATTATTTGATGGAACCAGCATCTGTTTCTATCAAATGATTGATTTGCCCTTAATCCACAAAATAGGACCAAGAACAATCTACAAAGACTATTATTATAGAAACCAAGTTATAGATCAATCCTTATTTCAGGAATAACTAAAATAAGATATCCAGCCTTTAAGCAAAGAAGCCAAAACAACAACAACAACAACAACAACAACAACAGCAACAACAGCAACAAGTGCCAACAGAAAAATATTTGTGAAATGTGAGATACTTTTTAAGAAAATCTCTGGTAGTCACTACAAAAATGGTCAAGAAATAAGTCATTGAAGAATACGTTTGTATGAGTGGGAAGCACAAGGAACAGTTTTAGGGAACACTGCAAAAAATGAAATAGAACTAGTAATCAAAGGCATATTTGAAGAAAACTTTTCACAGCCAAAAATTGATTACTTAGAGCAAAACATTCTTTATATTAGATACAAAATACCTATTTGTACTTTTGGTTTTCCTTTTTGAGAACTGGCATCTGCTGTCTCCAGTTAGACATCTTGAACCTCTCTCTTAAAATACAAAATAGAAAAAAGACACATTATCTAGATGCATCTTGAAAAATGTTGAAATTACCCCCATATTATGTCTTTGAGGAGTTAGTATTTGAGTTGAAAAATAAAATAGATAATGCCAAAAATTAGTCTGGTAACGTATTATCTGCAAGATGACATTGTAATTAACATTGGAGCATTTCATTTAAAGGGCAACAGATTATGACATGCAATCTTTATTTGCTATTGGGTTGTCATTAAATTGTGAAAACAATAGAAAAGTAGATTTTTATATAGGTCTTAAAAATTATTTTCCAAAGTTTCCTCTTTAAGAAAAAAAAATCTTGACAGTATATTATAGCTAACTAAAGATGACATTAAATTAAAATTTAAAATATGAGAATGTGACAGAAAATTTCCAATGATGAACACTGAAATTATGTAAACAAAACTAAAAAGCAAATTCTCATAGTGGTTTGGAGCACAGGTTCCTGGAAGACAAAATTAGATTCAATTCCTGGGTGGATAACTTAGAAATGTGTGACCTTAGATACTTACCTTCTCTAAGCCTCAGATTGTGTTTTCTTAATGGGCGATAATAATGGAACCAATCTCAGAGGGTAATTTTGTGACCAAATATATATATTTAAGTTCTCAGCATAGTTCTTAGCACATTATTACTACGTAACCTTGTTTTAATTGGGGTGATAAAATTTAATGGAGATATTATTCTTGAATAAAACCATATGTAATATGAAAATAATAATGTACTCAACTGTTTGGGTTTGAAACACCGACTGCTTTAAGAAATCAACTAGAGACTAGGTGGGATGAAGTAACTGCCAAAGAACAGAGCTTTAAACCTATGATAAAGTACTAAGCTTATATTTCTTTTTTGATCTTCAAAATAAAGTTTGAAATATGTTGGAAAAAATGAAGATAACCTAAATTGAACAGTAATAAGATATGACCATACAATTTATATGTGAAGATATAAGGAAGTAAAACAAAAACAGCAAAGAAGAAATTTTAAAATGAGAGGAACACAAACAGAAATTATAAACTAAATAGCACAAAACAAATAAAGATAGAATTTTGGATAAAAGTATTCATGTTTAAAAATTTGTACATAAACACAGATGTGCAAAGTTAATTTTTAAAAAGTTATAAATGTTAGATAAATACGACCATCATCAAATCTAGAGGAATATATGTTAAAGCATTGCTGGCCAGGTCCAGGTCATTCTACTGCATGCACTCAATCAATCACCGTGACACAAGTTTTGCAAAAGAGAAAAGATTTGTTTGCAAGACTGCCAAGTAAGGAGGTGAGAGATCAGCTCTCAAATCTGCCTCACAGAAGATCAGGCTTAGGGATATTTATGGGTTAGGGAAGTAGAGTAGTCTAAGGCATGGAGAAAGGAGATTGGTAGTAGAGAAAAATAAAGTAACAGGTTTTGTTTTATGTAAGCACAGTTGGAGTTCATGGGATTTGAAAGGACATATGTATAGAAAATGGTGGCATTGGCATGATTTGCAGGTGGAGTTTTTGGCCTTCTGACTTGAAAAGATCACATCTGGGGTTCTTGTACAGGCCCAATTAAAGGGCTGATGGTCTCTAACAGTTGGAACTGGACAGGAGCTGGCCCAAGTTCCTATAAAATAACTGAAGTGACTGTTATCATGGTGACCTATGCATGTTATTTATAAAGTAGCCAGTGAGAGTTAAGTTTCAGCATTCATTGACCTTCATGTTCTTGAAAAAGAGGGAAAGAAACCCCAAAAACAGAAAGCAAGCCACACAGGCTGATTAAATTAACCACTTGGTTTCAAAATATGTGTGAACCTATTTATAATACCATAAATGAGGGAACTAGTCAGATGGTAAAGGTGATCGAAAGAACATTTTAGCAATTGAGTATTAAGTATAGTCATTGAAGAAGAAAGTGTTGGAATAGAATTGGTAGATGACATATATAATTGTCTTAAGGCCTAAGGGTAAAAAAATCATAACCTTTGGGATTACTTTTGGACAAAAATCTATTAGGTCTCCACCAGAGAAAATAATAAATTAACATGTAATTTCAAAATTTGGACCCTAATTAATAGTAAATAATATATCAAAGGAAATTACATTTCCCTCATGAATTAAATGCTCATGCCTGGGCCTTTTATTTAATGCATCAGTATGACATTGAAAGGATATGCAGTCCTTCTTTTGCTTTATTCACAAGTTTTGGATAATTTTTCTTAACACTGGATACTACTACTATTCAGTTTATATACACTTTGTTCTTTATGTCCTTACTACAAGGAGTACTTTAGTCAATAACAATATGTGAGGGACCTGGGCCAAATATCTCAAGAAACTCAAATTATAACCTAAATTTAAGAGTTTACTACATTAAAAATTTCACAACCAGATTGAAAGAACGAGAAAATACTATGAGCAGTTATGGTAGTGTGCAAGGTGACTTTTTTTGTATATAAAGCATAAAGAAACATGATACTCCAGTAAATTTTTATTAAAATATGAACATATAATATACAGATCCAAAAGTATGAATAATCAAAAGCATATGAAAAATATGAATATATTAAATATCAACTTAACTGCAAATTAAGACAACAATGAGCTTCTGCTGAAATGTTGAAGTTTCAAAATACTGCTCAAAGTTTGTGTGGAGTGAGATCCCCATTTTTGGTGGGGATATAAATCAGTATAAACTTACTGGTGAAGGATTTTAGCAAGTGGATCAAAGTCTTTGGAAGTTTCCCTATTATTTTACCCAGTATAACTACCTCCCCAAAATAATATTGGGTACTGGGAACATATATATATATTTATGAAATATTGAGTACAGGTATTTATATATACATATAATATTTATATGTATATATAAATGTATATATAAATTATACATATAATATTTATATGTATATATAAATTTATATATCCACATATTTATATACATCTAAATATGTAATATATAAATATATAATATATTATATTATATATAAATTTATATATTTCATACATATAAATATATATTTAATATATAATAAATTTATATATACATATAATATTTATATATACATATAATAATATATAAAACTTAAAAGTTACCATATTTTCCATAAGAAATATTCAAATTCATCGTAGTATATCAACTTGATAGAATATTATGCAATCTTTGAGATTGTGCTTTTGATAAATATTTCAAATTCTAGCTTTTTAAAAAGTCTAAATGCACCAAAAGAGTTATATAAAAATTTGTAGAAATACACAGTCATGCATACAATACCTTGACTCATTCCTGATCTTAAGGAGAAACATCAGTCTTCCTTTGTTAAGCATGATAATTAACTATGAAATTTTTTAAATGCTATTTTTCAGGTAGAGAAAGCTTTTTCTATTCCTCATTTGATAATTGTTTTTTTAATCATGAAAGGTTTTAGATTTTGTCACATGCTTTTCTGTTTATCAAGATTATCTTTTTTTTGTATTCCATTAAATTGCTGTGTTATACTATTTTTGGATGTTACACCAACCTTGCATTCTTCGGGTAAATCTCACTTGTTCATGGTGTATAATCCCTTTTTATGTTGCTGGATTGGGTTTGCTAGTATTTTGTTGAGGAATTCTGCATCTATATTTGAAAGTAATATAGACATGTAATTTTCTTTCCTTGTAAGTCTTTGGCTTTGGTGTGATAATAATAATAACCTTATAGAATGAATTAAGATGTAGTCCTTCCTTTTCTTTTTTTGGAGATATATGATGAATTATATTAATTCTTCTTTGAATATTTGCTGGGATTTAACAGTAACATCATCTCAGTTATTTCTTTGTGTGAAGTTTTAAAATTACAAATTTGGACTCTTTGTTATGAGCCTATTCATATTTTCTCTTTTTGTTGAGTCACTTTCAGTAATTTGTGTCTTTCTAGATATTAGTCAATTTCATCTAAGTTATTTAATTATTTGCCATACAATTCTTAATAGTATTTCCTTATAATACTATTTTTATTTCTTAAGGTTGATAGTGATGTCTTTTCATTAATTCCCTACTTTAGTTATTTGAGTCTTTTTGTTTTATTTTGTTTTGGTCAATGTAGCTAAAAGTTTACCGTTTGTATTGGCCTTTTTAAAAAACCAACTCTTGCTTTTGTGGATTTTTAAAATTATTTTTCTCTTCTCAATGTATTTCTGCCATAGTCTTTATTATGTCTTTCCTTTTGCTTGCATTGGGTTCAGCTTTCTCTTTTCCTAGATTCTAAATATTGAGACTTAGGTTATTAATTTGAAACCTTTATTTAAAAGTTAATTGACTTTACTTTTTAGAGAAGTTTTAGTTTCACAGCAATTTAGTGGAAAATCAAAGTTTATCATATATCCCCTCCCCACACAAAGCCTCTGCGACAACCAACATCACGTGGTACATTAGTTATAATTGATGAACCAACATTGACACATCATTATCAACAAGGTCCATGAAAGACTTAAGTAAATCGAGAGTTATACAATATCTATGGGTCAGGAGATTTTATATTGTTAAAATGTCAGTATTTCCACTATTGACCTATAGATTCAATGAAATCTCAATACCCCAATAGGTGTCCTTGTAGAAATTGACAAGATAATTCTAAAATTTATATAAAAATTCAAATGCCTTAGAGTAACCAAAACGACTTGAAACGGAGGAATAAATTTGAAGAACTAATTCTACCTGATTCTAAGGCAAATATTTCATTTCAGTACTTTAAAAATGTTGCTCCACTACCTTCTTTTTCACATTTTTTTAAATGTGAAATCTGCTAATATTCTTTCCTCTGTGTCTCTGTTGCGAGTGGAGGGTGTCCAGGTTCTTGACATTTTGAACAAAAATTAGACAAAACACACAAACAGAACAAGGAAAGAATGAAGCAACAAAGGCAGAGATGTATTGAAAAATGAAAGCACATTCCACAAGGTGGGAACGGGCCCAGCCAAGCAACTCAAGAGCCCAGTTACAGAATTTTTAGGGGGTTTAAATACCTTCTAGAGGTTTCCCATTGGTTACTAGAAGTACACCCTATGTAAATGAAGTAGTGGCCTGCGTTTGGTCTGATTGCTTGCAGGAGGGGACCAATCAGAGGCTGAAGTGAAGTTACAAAGTTAAACTCCTATGCAAATGAAGACTTGGCCCACCACCAGCCTGATTGGTTGTGGGAGGGGACAAATCAGAGGTCCTTTCAATATTTCATCTTTGAAGCGGAAAAGCAGAGGTTTGCAAAGGGAGTAGTAGCCCTTGGTCCTTTTGTTACTTGGGCATGGAAAGTTGAGGTTTTCCTTTTGATTTAGTTGTAGGAAGTCAGCGAGAATCGGCCTTAAATTCCCTGCCTCCAGACCCTATACTCCTGCCTCACTTCTACATAAAACGTCTTTTTAATTTTGGCTGCTTCTAAGATTTATCTTATCTCTCATTTTGAGTGATTTGATTATTATACAATTTGATTTCATTGTTTTTTCTTGTACTTACAATTTATGGAGCTTATTGAATCTCTGGGTTTATTACATTAATAAAACTTGGGAACGTTTTGGCCACTATTTCTAAAAATATATATTTTTTCTATCTTTCTACTCATTATTTCTTTTAGGGACTCCATATACATATATTAGACATCTTGAAGTTGCCCACAGCTCATATTTTCTAAACAGCTCCATTAAGAGATAATTAACATACCAAAGAATTCAATTAAGTATACAATTCAATGGTATTTATTATATATCTCTATGAATGTATTAAAATCCATTCAGCTGTGATATACTAAAAAACATAGAGCTGTATTTATTTTTAAATTATTTTTTCATGTGCTTCATTTTGCATAGTTTCTTTTGCTATTTTCAGGTTTATTTATTATTTTCTTTTTTGGCAATATGTAATCTGCAACTAATCTCATCCAATGTACTTTATTATTATTATTATTATTTTTTTAGATAAGGTCTCATTTTGTCATTCAGGCCAGGGTGCAGTGGTGCAATCTCAGCTCACTGCAACCTCTGCCTCCCTGGCTCAAGTGATCCTCCTGCCTCAGCCTCCCAAGTAGCTGGAAATACAATGCATACCACCACATCCGGCTAATTTTTGTAGTTTTTGTAGAGATGGGGTTTTGCCATTTTGCCAGGCTGGTCTCGAATTCTTGAGCTCAAGCAATCTGTCTACCTTGGCCTCCCAAAGTGCTAGGATTACAGGTATGAGCCACCTCACCTGACCTTCAATGTATGTTTTATCTAAGACATTATAGTTTTCATCTTCAATAGTTTAATTTGGGTCTTCCTTATCTCCTCTATTTCTCCAGCTAACATTTTAAACTTTTGGGATAAAGTTAATAATTATTATTGTAATGATTTTGACTGCTAATTCTAACATCAATTCTGCATCAGCTTCAACTGGTTGGTTTTTTTCTCATCATTATGTGTTATATTTTCCTGATTATTTGCATGCCTCATAATTTTTAATTGGATGCCCAGACATTATAAAATATTTTGCCTTTTTGGGTCCTGACTATTTTTGCATTTTTATAAATATTTTTGAGCTTTGTTCTGGGATTTAGTTTATAGAAGCAGTTTGATCCTTTGGGTCTTACTCTACGTTTTCTTAGGTGGGACCAGAGCAGCTATTAATCTAGAGCTAGATTAACTTAAACAAAATTATTTTATTTACTCTCCCTAATGCCTCATGTATTATGAGAGTTTTCTCATCCTGACAGGTGGGTACAGGAATTATTTCTAGTCTTACATTCATGTTTTCATCAGTAATCCGCTAAATACTCCTGAATGACCGTCTGCCGCTCTCCGGTGTTCTGTCAATATGCATTTCTCTTCTCTCTGGTAGTCTTTCTTAGTCTAGCTTTCTTGTTCTCTCCAGATTCCCAACTCTTGGTCTTGTATCAGGGATTTTTCTTGGTTCCATCTGAGTACCTTCTTTGGGTACTGCTGCTTGGAGACCCTGTCAAGACTATAGCTGGGGTAATCATAAGATATACTTCATTTGTTGTTTTCTGTCCATCAAGTTTCACTGTCCCTCATTGCCCAATGTCTGGTGTTGTTAAAACCTTTATTTTATATATTTTGTCTAGCCTTTAAGTTGTTTAAGTCAGCAGGGTAAGTCTCACCTCTTTTATATCATTTTTCCCAGAGACAGAAATCTTCTTAATTGATTTTTATTGGGGCTTTTACTTAGCTAACGTGAAATTAGATCACCTGGTGAGAAGCATCTGCATAAAAACAATGGACCCATAATTTTTCATGGTGTTTTATTTACTACTTATCCACATCAGTATAACATTATTTTTAGAAAAGTTACAAATAAAATACATTATTTTTGGTTTAAAAAGTATTGTGCTCTGAGTCAGTTTGATTTAGCTAGTCATCATCTGCAAAACTGACTAATATCAGTTCCATATTTCCTTAATTTTCATCAAAACTTATCAATTCACCAACTTCATTTTTCATATCCCCCAGATACTAGCTGTTAATACTGTCACTACAGAAGCAGATTATATCAATGCATGCTGAAGCCTAAATCATGTATTTTCTACTCAAACATACTCCAGTAGAATGAGAAGATGTATACTCTTATAGGTGCTGTTTATTAGACCTAGTAGCAATTGGTCAGAATTAGGTCTGTGTTTTCTACATGTTTGCTCTACTTTTAAACATTTTGAGCAGAATCTTAATGTCATGAGCTTTTCAGTATTTTTAAAGAAAAAAAAATGGAACATTAAACTGAGTCTTGTCTGGCCAAGATGCTAAAATGATGTTACAATATTTATATTGTATTGAGAAGTGTCCTCTGTAATGCAATTTACTTTTTGACCATTTGTCCATATATTAACATTGCTGGGTGACACTGAAGCACTTTCTATACTTCATATTCAGCAATTTAAGCTTTGGCTCAATCTTGGTAGGCAGTGACTGGAAAGAGTTATCAGGTACTTGTGGATTGTTGGAGAGACAGGGACTTATAAAAGAAGAAAAATATGGAAGCTGGGTTGCTATTCATACTGTGTACTGAAGATTATGCTAAATCAAAAGAAGTTGCTGGATTTCTGACCGCTATATTAAGGCAAAGATAAACCTTAGAATTGTATTTTATTGTTGAAACCTGAAAATTAAAATCAGAAAAGATAAAAACAGGCCTAGACTAAAATTCAAGAAAAAAAAAGGTGGTGTTTGATTAATCATCTTTAATTGTCTCTTGCATTTACTTGTCTCTCTAGTTGTGTACTATACTACCAAATGCATTTAAAAATGAGGCACAGGAAAGCCATTTGTTTATGACTTGTGAAAATATCTCATTTTTTCACAGTATTATATAAACGATTATTGTAAAACTGCTTAAATATGCTTTTTGTTAATCTACACTTACATATATTTTATTTATAAAAGGAATCATAATGTAGAAAATGTTTTGCTTTAAATAGTGATCAAAATATTAATAGATGAGTTAATATTTAACACATAAGAACATAAGAATAAATTGCTTTTCTATTAGACTATTTTATGTTGATCAAAGTTTTCATGGTTGAACTGACTTTGGTATTTAGACATTTCTGTGGGTACATTGAAAGTGGAAATAACCTTTTATAATGGTGTATTGAGTTTATTGAGCATTTTACACACTGATTCAATATTCCTTTGCTTTTGGTTCATGTGTACATGTTATTCTATAGTTGATCATATATGAACTTGTTTCCTTTTATTTTCTGACAGTGTTTAATAATCTTATCTATAGAAAACCCTGATATATTAGTACTTTCACATTAAATTTCTTTATAACTTCAATTTAGGAATTTAAGAATTTCAACATTACCATGCAAGTGTTTATTTTATATGTATATATATATATGTGTGTGTGCGTGTATATATGTACATATATATATATATATATATATATATATATATATATATAATACTTGAGAAGAAACAGTTCCCATGGTCTTTTGTCTTGTTTTTATTTCTTGTGTTTCTTTGATGCCATGCACCAGTGCTGGCTCTCTGAGAGCCAGACACAAAACGAGAGTGACATGTCGAACACATGGATATCAAGCATGTGGTTACCTTAGCAACAGGAACCATATAAAAGCCCTCAGAACTTCCTTTGCTACTCCTGGGACATTTCAGAGTTTCAGATACTGTAAATACTCATGAATATGATGTCTATAAGAGGCATTACAAATATTAAAGTATTATAAAGTAAAAGTGACCCTGGAATTTGAAGTTCTTGTTTACAGGTTTTGAAAGGTTTGTTAGATTAGTATTTACTTTTAATTTTTTGAGTAATAGAATGCGTTTAGGTTCTAAATTACTATGGAAATGGCATAGTGAGGATTCTTCACAGATATTAGAGACCTTCAACAACATAGTGAAAATAGATTTGTTCTTTCTTGTAAATAGCTGAACTATGAGAATTTGATCTGTCACTGGAGGGGGCATTTGCTCTGAAGTTTGCCAAAGTAAAAATAACTTTGCTCTTTAGTAAGAAAAAGCTATATTTTTCAATACTGGCTGCCACAGCAAACAAACAAAGTCTTGTTTGTGTTTTAATATTGGCAAAGGAAAAATTCTCTATATAATTTTTACTAAATTAATTTGGTTATTATTTTCTCTTACTGACACTTTTTCTTCTTTATACTGTCTGGGCTTTCCCCTAAGTTGAAAAAGTCCCATACTACTTTTCTATAGAGAAAATCCTCACTCCAGTCCTCTTGCTCTCTATTCCTCTTTCTATTTATTTACCTTATATGGAATGGTCCATGCTACCCATGCATATGATTGCAGATACCTATCACTGAAGTGAATTAACCTTTCTTCTTTTTAAAAAGGAGTCTTGCTCTTAAATATGCTAAACATAGTAAAATATTTGAGTCCCTGATTTCTCATACTACCTGCCCGTCAGCCAACACTATCGTTGGAAAACTCAGTGGTGAATCAACTGATGCTGTACTTTTTGCCAACTCTGTATGACAGACAAGATCTAATATTTCAGACAGAGTCTATAGATATGGTCACTCTCTATTCATCTAAACTTTTTGAGTTTGAACCTTATGGAAACTAAATCATCTTAAAGCAAGTGCCTAGGACCTATTATACCAACATACTTCAGAAACCCCTTCACTGATTTATGATTTACTGGTATGTTATGCTATCAGAATTTATGGAAGATCAATACAAAAATCACCTACTTGAAATATGATCTGTCTTTATAAAACTTAGCTCGAAAATTTTAGCCACATTGATACAAGACACCATACAATAGATTTTTTTGGTCTTTGTTTCAGAAACTACCTCTATTTGTGTATTTCTTATGTCAGAAATGGCACTATATAAGTTAATATGTCTTTTTTTTCATTTGAACACTCAGTAATCTTAAATAAATTGCTGTGCTGTGATAATAATAGTTAACATTTACTGAGTGTTTGCTATATATCAGGTCCATCTCTAAGCATTTTATGCATATTGATGCTTGTAATTCTAACAACCATATGAGGTTGAAACTCTTACTATCTCCATTTTACAGAGGAGGATACTGGGGCAAAAGAAGAGACATGCATCTTGTAAGTAGCAGAATCAGGATTCAAATTAAGGCGGTGTGGCTCCGGGAATTGTGTTTTTAATGAGTAAGCGTCTTTCTCTGAGGTAGGTGAGTTAGGCGAGCCTGCTTCTTTTCTCCTTTCAGCAATATCTGAGAGGCATCATAGTGTAGAATAGGAGTTCTCAAATTCTTGTTTTTAAAACAGTGATTTTACTATTACCTGGGAACTCGTTGCAAATGCAATTTTCTTCAGCCACAACCAATACCGCCTGAATTGGAAACTCAGGAGTGAGGCCCTGCCACGTGTGTTTCGGCAAGCCCTTCCTGGTGATTCCGATGCATACTAAAGTCTAAGAACCATTGGTGTAGTAGAAAGAAAAAATTTGGTGAGAGATGACTGTGAATTCAAATCCCACATCAGCTGATTTTCAGCTGTGTGACTCTGCATGCATTAATTAACCTTTCTGAACTGATTTATAATAAATAACACAATGATAATAAATTTGCTGAGAGTTTTATGAAGATTAGTTATTGCAAGCTAATCAATTTTACTGTGTGTCATTATACTTAATATTACATTTTGACATCGATCCTTTGTTAGAAAAGTTATGGTTTTAAAAATAAACATTTCAACATCAGCATCATATCATTTAATAAATCACACATACTGAGTGCTACGTTAAACTTTGTATATCTCCACATTTTTCAAGTCATTGTATATACGTGATATATGATATTTACAGCATACTTTGACATATTTCCATTTTACTAAGTTAAAGTATCATTATGATCACCATCATAGATAATGGACACTTAGAAGCAGACCTATTCATTTATGCTTTGTACATATTACTTTCAGTCACGGTTAAATCTAGACAGTTGTATACAGGAACATTTTTATTTTTTGGTGGCACTTTGTAATATTGAATGAAAAATTTGAAAGCATTGAATCTGTAATACATTTTATTCATATATAGTGCTCAATCAAAATTGATAATTTGTTCCCAGAAGGTACTATCAAAGTAAAATTTCAGACATGATTAGATAAATTGGCAAATTTTATACATCTTGCTATTGGTATAACTTAGAACATATTGGTAGGGGCTAAAAGTTATCATCATCCAGTGTCAGCTTGCTACCCAGGGAGAAGTGAATTGTTTGATCTCTATCCAATTCCCAAGGCCTTAGTCTATATCTCAGAATACCGCCATCTCAATAATCGCAAATTGGCACTTGAGGTAGCATTCTCAGCCCGGAGGCCAAGAAATAAAGAAGGACTTTTCTCCAGCTTGACCTTGAGGAGTGTCACAAAACAGGAATAGGGCAGGGTAGAACACGGGGACTTGTCACAGCCCATTTAGCAACCTATTACTTTATTCTGATTATTTGGGTTAGCTAAAATTCATGTTGTTTATATATTTTTGGTGGGTCTCATGAAAATTCTGTTTTACATTTCTTTATAATTTGTATGACCCTAACTTTTCTGACAGACAGCTCCCTGGCTAGAATTACTATTATTGTTTCCCACTTTAGTGTAAATACCAATGGAAAGCTGATGGCAAAACTATTCTTCACTGCTGGATCATCAAGGAAATTAGAAAAGTCCAATTGCTTTGCCAGTGTTTGAAATGCAAGGAGAAAGTTTAGGGCTTAAAAAAATCAGCATGTATGTATCTGAGAATGTTAAACTATATCACTGTATGCTATGAATAAAGCCCTGTCTTAATTTTAATACTGCTATTTAATATGTGCACAGATATAAACTTTTACTAAGCTGTAATTGGTGGAAATGAAAAAAATCAGAAAAATGTGACTTCCACAAAAGCTTTTTTTTTTAAATGGTGAGTTCATGTGACAATTGTGTTTCATTTTGTTTGATGCTTTGCAAACAGTATTCATTATTAGCTTTAGTCCACTAATTCTATCTAGTTAAATGTGTAGGATTATGTCCTGCGCAGGTCCAAATCTACTTTTTCTTCATTGTATATTATCTATTTTATAAAATCCATATGTCTGGATTTAGAAGTTTATAGATTTCCCTCAAAAGATGATAGCTTGCAACATGTTTAGAGAATATTTTTATGGATATAAATAAAGGATGAGATAAAACAACATTGCTTTGCATTTGTTTAGGATGGAGTCAGGATCCTAGCAAAAGAGGTATTGTTATATATATGAATCACTTGTTAATAGTCCTAAATTTTTTTAGACCTGGGGATGGGAGGGTTATGAATGCTGTAAAGCAAAAGTTGGCACAAAAGTCAATGCTTATACTGAAAATCCGCTGAAGGAGGCCTAAGATGAAGCGAAATATTCACCTTCTTCTAAATCGACTTTCAACTGTTTTCTGGGATTTCTTTTTTGAGCAGACTCTAGAATAAAACCTGTTGCTAAGTAATTTGGTAATAAATTGATCTCTTTAATTGATGCTGTATATTTCTTGTTTGCTGGCTTGTCAGCATCCAAAGGCACAATCGCTGTGGAATATTGTTTCCCATATTACAGTCTGATTGGAGTGTGAAGCAGTGGTGCCAAGGTGAAATGTGAAACAAAAAGAATTTAAATACATCTCCAAGCACGTCTATGATTTTTATTAGCTATGACGGTAATAACAGTGATGACTCCTCTGAATTCTGGCATAAACTGTTTTATTTAGTTCAAATGCTTTAATTATTTGATGCTCTTTCATTAACAACTTTGTTAGCAGGCTTTGCCTTGTTGGTTGGCTACTTTTATTTGTTATAACAATGGAGGCCAAAAGAAAAACAAGACTGTAACACCGTGCTCTTCAGTTTTAATTCTTTATTACATTTTTACATTATCACTGAACATAATCCCCATAATTGTTTCCCTTGCAAGTAGGGGGTAGGGCTTTAGATCTAATACATTACACTGAGGAGATGTTTGTTTAGCTGAAATGACATGGTTGCCTATGTAAAAATATATCTGACAGCAGAGCTTTCGAGTCAGCGCTTTTCTTCATTTTCCCCGCTGCTCAATCCATCCAGCGGCTGTCACAGAGGGGAAGCGGACAATCTATCAAGGTATCGAGATATATTCCTCTCACCTGCATGAGTTCTTTAATGAACAGCCAACATGATCTCAGCTGACAAGCAGGAAATGGATGTAATAAAGATTGTTTCTGCATGCTCTTTGCATCTTTGATAAATCACCATGCTGTGCATCAGATACAAGTGCCACATGGAAATTTTATTTCATATGGTGAGAAAACCGATAGAGGTAGGGTCACCTATTTTTTTTTTCTTTTTCTCTTTTCTCCTTTCTTTTTCTTTTCTTTTTGGTGATGCTTGTGAAAATTGCTGGCCTGCGTGGGATCCTTATTACTTTCATGGGCTAGCCGTGCATGACTGGCATACTTGCCTAAATTAGTTGTTATAGCACAAGAAAGCTGCCTTTTAAAGACTAAGCAGCTTGGCTGTGATATCAGGTTCCTTTTTTTTTTTTTAACACCTAGTAATTTAGGAACAGTTCAAAGGTGACAGCAACAAAGGGTGCATGGAGGTGACCTCTATATTTGCACCTTCAGCTGGCAGCTGCAAGTAAGTGAGCTCTGTTCACGTCAGTTCCACTTAAAATGTGTAGAAAGTCTATATCAGAAGGCAGCGAGATAGCAGTCAGATAATTTATGATTTAATTTTATGCGAGCCCTGCTTTCAGTAATTTGCTGTAAACTCAGGGGAGGCTGGCGCTAACCAGTTCTGTAGCTCAGGGGGATGGTGGCACTCACTGAAGGGTAGTTTGCTTGCTAATACAAGGATGGTTGTTTTTATATTTTATTTTATGTGAACTTGACAGGCTCCGAACACTGAAATGAAATCATGCTCAGTATTCTAATCAAAGTATGAAACTATTTGTTATAGAAATGCAATGGCTATATATACAGTAAAGAAAACACCATTTAGCATAAAATTAAGGGACATAGCTCCTTTTAAAAGGGAGAAAATGCCTTAAATGTCTATTTTCAAAGCTGCATAATCTACACTTCATACTGTGAGCATAAATATGTGTTTATACATTTTAGCATGAGACTAAAGACTATTTTTGAGAATAATAACAGAGCCATGGCCTAGAGTACAAAACATTATTGCCCAGTAGGACTTGTCAGCTAGAGGATAAACTGGTATATATTTATGGGGAATGTCTCAATTAAATCTCTTTAGAAGATCAAAATCTGAATATAGTAGCAATATTCCAGTGCATTTGTTGTTTCACCTTTTACTATTTGTAGACATCTAATTATTTTGAAAAGCCTGGAACTAGAAAAAAAATGCACATGGATTTCCATTTCCAACTTCCTTCTGTGGGTATGAGACACTATAAATAATAGTAAAGGAAAATATGGATTTGAAAAATAATTTAGATTAAAAAGATCGAAGTCAAAAGTTTGATTAAAATAATTATAAAAACTTAGTTCATGAGAAACTTTTTGGGAGCAAATTTATTGAGTAAATTAATTCTGATAGTGCTGTAGAATTTGGTTATTGCTGAGTTGATAAGGAGAAAATACTCTGATATGCTAATAACATAATAGATTTAGGGTTTGAGAGACTTGTTTGTGTTCCACAATGGATAGTGTGATAAGCTAAGTAAATTAATAATTTTGCACAATCAAGTTTCAAATGATCATTGAATTATGGGTTAATGTCGTTAATGAGTTTACCAAATATACTTTTATAGCAAGTTAACATATTCCTGTAAATCATGACTCTACTTCTTGACATAAAAGGTGCTTATAAATGGATGATATTAATTTCCATATGACATGCACAAAAGTTAACTATATTCTATTATTCTGAAAATGATTTCCCTAGTAGATTAGAGCAACATATCTAAAATACAGTTGAACTTTAGCCACATTAGGGGCATATTGCTTTTTAGCGTCTTTGTTTCTCATAAATAGCTTAGTTTAAAAGGTAAAAACAAGCATATATGAAGCATAATTTGATACTTTTTAAAAAATTTAGGCTAAAAGCTATAATTATCCCTTTGTAATAAAATGGAATATCTACAACACATGGGACTATAGCCATACTGAAAAATATTATTTCTTATTATCTTTATTTTTCATAAATATTTTAGTGTAAATGTTGAAATAATAAGCATATATGAAACAGAATGGCATGTTTTTAAACACAAGCTGAAATTCCTAAGTATGCATGCATCTATAAACTTTTCACAGGTAAATATGCTAGCTAAATGCTAGTTCCCCATAACTATATTTATATTATTATTTTACTTATTAGACAGAAATAGGAAGTTTTTTACAAATCCAAGTATTTTTAACCTGATAGCATCAAACTTCTGTGCACATAGTAGCATAGTAGGCATAGAAAAATCACATAATTGATTCATATTTGACATACTATTGGGGAGATAACTGGTTTTTTTTGTTTTATCTTTTTTTTTTTTTTTTTTTTTTTTTTTTGACGGAGTCTTGCTCTGTCTCCAGGCTGGAGTGCAGTAGTGCCATCGTGGCTCACTGCAACCGCCCACTTCCTGGTTCAAGCGATTCTCCTCCCTCAGCCTCCTGAGTAGCTGGGATTACAGGCATCTGCCACCATGCCCAGCTAGATAACTGTTGAAAGAAAATTTTTGGTAAATGTTTTTCTGAAAGGCCAAACATTATTCTCTACTTCAAAGAACCACATATGTTTTAATCTCCTTTATTATATTTTGCATACTTTTATAGTGGAAAACACATCTGCTACACCATTGGTTCTCAGCCACCCTGTAATGAAGGTCAAAATAATTCTCAAGATTGTCACCAGACACTAGTTGCTTTAAAAAGAAAGAGACCACAAGAATTAATAAGTATATCAGTGTTATGCATTTAGGGGGCATACACATCTACAACTCCATAGTTAATGTAATAGTGATCATTTTGAAAAATTACAAGTGTTTTTTGAGTCCCAAAGAGGTAGAACCTTTGTGGATAATTGGTCTGAAATCATGGAATAAGAAGATGTTAGGAGCTGATAGGGCTTAAATTGGGTGCATAGCAACAGATGAGATTTCATAAGTAGATAAGTGGGGAGTTTCATATATATATAATATATACACACATATAAAAGTATGTATATATAACAATGTATATACATATACATGTGCATATAATACATGCAGACATATAGAGATTATATAAGGCATATAAATTGTATATATATATAGTTCTTTTTTTGTTGTTCATGTTGTCATGACGTATTGTGTACTGATTTTTGTGAACTACATACTTTACACTTACCAATGAATTTCTAAGAAGTCAAATAGTATCCACATTGCTTTTTTCTAACTTGATTTTATTCTACTTGTTTGGGACCCTAGTAATGATTTCTATGTCAGTGCTAGTTATTTGGCCCACTGGATTATAATAGCTATCTTTGCAAACAAAAGCAACATCAGAAAAAGCCTTCACAGGAACCTAGAAAAACGAGTATGTCTCTTCCTCCCTCATTCCCTTCCTCCCTCCGTCCTTTCCTCCCTCCCTCTTTCCCTCCCTCTCTTTTTCCTTTCCCTCCACCCCTATTTTCCTTTCTCCCTTTGTTCCTTCCATCCTTCCTCTATTTAGCTATCACATATTTGTTGAAAACTCACCACACTCCAGGCATATGGTCCTAAGTTTGAACAGAAAAATAGGTTAGATACAGTGCATTCTTTAATAGAGCTTATAATCTAGTTGAGGAGCACAAGCTTTAAAACAATTATTACCAGTGTGAGGAATTTCACGAAAAGGGAAATCAAAATGATATAGGAGAAAAAAAGGGGCGAAAACTACCTTGGTTTTTTGGATCAGGGAAGATTCCCCTAAGGTAATGACTATAAAACTGCATAGTGAAGAGTGAAGAATAATTAGGGGGAAGAGGAAGGGAAGAGGCCCAGAGATAAAAAAGTAAAAATAAAATAAATCCAATATGCAAGAACTGAAAGAGAAAAGGAAGAGAGTGAAAGAGGTATGAAGAAAATGTTTCCTTAGGAAAATATGCTTTCTTTTTATTCAACACATACTTGTTGAATGAGTGCCAAACAGTGTTCCGGGTGCTAAGAAATGCATCAGTGAACAAACCAGACAAAATGTTTACTCTCGTGAAATTTATATTCCTTTTTCTGTCAATAAATGTCAAAGCTTATGCACTTTTACCTGTCAATAAATGACATACAAAGTGTTTTCTTACATTCATACTTCATGAAGTATGAAGTTGTCTTTTAAGTGTTTTTGTTTAAAAGACTTATAATTATTTTAGATAACAGATTTACAAAATATTATCTTGTTTTGCTTATTTACTGATACTTAGTATATTTCCTCTTTTATTATATCTTACTGGCTTGCATTTCCTGTTCCTAAATTCCCAAGAGAAAATTTTAACCACGTGTAATATTTCAAGCATGAGTTTATATGGCTCAAATAAAATATATTACTTGCACCATAATTAATTTTATAATACATAATTTTGTAAAAAACAGAAATAGAAATATGAATGTATTTTTAATATTAAGCCACGTAGGGTGCTCATTGTCAGAAATCTAGAAATAGCACTTTCATTGTAGTTAATATATGTTATACTGCTTAAACAATTTTTTTCAATTTTAAGCTTCATAATATGTGAGGGAAAGAGAACTAGGCTAATAGTTGCTTGCATGACTAAAAATGGTGCAAAATTCAAGATGGGCTGATTGAAATCTTGTTGTTCTTCAAAAGTATGGATGTTTCTTATTGTGACTAATTGCTTATGTGCACAGAAAAGGAAAAAAAAATCCTAAAAACTGCAGAGAAGGGGAATGAAGGAAGAATTTCCACAGTGAATATTATTTGTCCTAATAATTAGTTGTTATAGGAGACAGTGAAAAATCCCATTTTAGTGACAAAAGATAAAAGATTATTACATTGCATATAAGTAAATTTGAGACGAAATTTGAGACACTGCAGGATATAAATAATAAAACAATAAAAAGCTATCAAATTATTTAGTTTTTAGAACAAGTCGTGAAACAGTTTGGAAAATTTTTAAAACAAAAATTTGAACTTATAAAGGATATTTGTGACAACAATAAAGTTTTGCTTTTCATGGTTGTTGATTTTTTTTTTCTTTTTATCCTAGGAATAGGGCAGGTGAGCAAAAGGGAACAAGAGTATGAAAAGGAAAGAAAGAAAAATTATATTGCAATATTATTAACACTTAAAATAGTAAAGTCTCAGTAAGTCATATCTTTATAAACCTATTAAAATGTAATAGATATTTTTCTAACTGATATGGTTTGGAGACAGTCCTGCAAAAGGCATAGAGTTATACTAGAACACCTATGAAATCTATAGAAGCAACACAGTTCCTCAACTCACTGGCTACTATAAATTGATGATGAAGTACACTTTCACCTCTGTAGCAATGAATACTTACATAAATTAATAACCTATTAATACCGGGAATTTTCCAAGGCAGTAAATAAAATATATCCTTTGGGAGCAGCATAATGGGAACATTATCAGTATTAAAGCTTACTTTTAACATCTGTGCTGGTGGAGAAGATAATAAATGTAGATGAACCTTTTAAAATCCAAATGTGTCAATGTATTTATTTGTATAAAGTTGATCAATACAGAGAAGATGGCATTTCTTTCCTCTTATAGTCAGTCTGATACTAGGCATTTAAAAACATTCAGTTTTCATAGGATAATTGTGAACATTAATTTGTATATAATTTCAGTAATTTGAATTCAATTGAAGAACATATTGCTATTTGGTTTAGCTTTTTGAAGTGTATGTGATTATGACCTGAAAGGCAGATTAATAGCAGGATTATGGTCTTATAGATCATACAATTCATTATGTTCTTACTGATCAATATCTGGCATCAGATACTACAACTTCACTGTATATGTTTCATTCATTTAGATGAGTAGATCTATATTTTTGTTACTTTACTGCGCTGCATATATCATGAGCCAAAGGCCTTTTTGATATCTTTAAAGCTATTATGCTTCTTATTGCTTTGCAACTTAAGGATCCTGTATTTGAAAGTTTGGACAAAGTCAATAACTTTTAGCCCATAGTTGTAAAGATAATTAAAAATGACATTTTCTTATATTCAGCTATTATTTTCAATCTTTAGTTTTCTCAGTCTGTTTTCATTACACAGAAGTCCTACTAACCAAATATGTTCATTCTTAATAATTAAGACACTTTACAGAAAGTTGCATTCTTAAGATTCAGCTTCTTGCTGCATTCTGTGTATTGGGAACAATGAAAGAGCACTGGAGAGAAATGATTAGCTTTTAATCATAAAACAGTCCAAGGCTTTTGAGTCTGTGAAGTAATACTAAGGCACTTAAAAAAACAGGCCTATGAATGATATGGTTGGCTTTGTTTTGTTTCAATGTCTTAACTGATTAGGCCATGTTAGAGATAATATTTAAATTTTGGAAAAATAAAAACAACAATTCCTAAATCCTCTGGACTCTTTTCCAGTCTGAGGAGCTCCTTGCATGGCTGCCAGGTACCACATTTTGCCATTGATCAGCCAGTGGGTTCCCTTCTCTCCTTCCTCTATTCAGAAAATTCTTGAAGCTGTATATAGTAGCCTCTAATTCTTTATCTACCTCTGGATGGAAAACTCATTCATCTCTGGGATGATTCCAGTGGAGATTGAAATTACTGCCACTCTCTCCCAAAAAAGGCTGGTCTTCTTGGTATTCCAGAGGAAAAAATTCAAGCACTCTATTCAGAGACTTGCTTGAAGAGCCAGTTAACTGGTATGCATAGGATATATCCTGTGACTCAGTCTACCAATGCCCATGGCTATGCTTAGACACTCCAACTAAACAGCTGCATCATCTCTAAGACACTATATTAGTAAAGGACACATAGCATCCACGGTATTTGCACCCTCACCAGCAGGATTTCTGATCAATGAAGCTCGTTTTTAATGCTGTAGGCTCTTGAGGAAATTGAGCATATAACCTCTGGGAGCTTCATACTCCTTCTAAGTCCCTTCAAACCTAGGGAAGAATTATTCATAAACTTAGTATCCTTTGAATAATACTTCCTTGAAGATAGCAGGAGAAACGATATTCAAATTGCTCTACAAACTAAACAACATTAGATGGGTGATTATTTTTTAAATTGTTTTTCTTCTAAAAGTATTCACATAGAGTTTCTTCAAATGGTCTTACTGAATTATTATTTTATTTGATACATTATAAACATATCTATAAAATATGTGCTGTTACTTCTGTATACATATGAAATAAGCATTTTTGTGGTTGATTGAAATTGTATTACGGCTATGTTAGAAAATAAAACTTCAAAATATTAGCTGAAATAAAATTTTTAAAAGCTGTATTTTATTTATTATGGCAACATGTTTGCATTCCTGCATTATTTCCTATCTATTATGAATCTATATATTTTTATTTGTAAACACGTTAAATGATACAAGGTATTACCTACTGAGCTCTTACTATGTGTAAGATACATATATCATTAATGCACTGAATCTTTCACTTAATAAAGTCTAATTGTGACATTTAACAGATAAATTTACTGATACCTAAAGAGGTTAAGCAATTTCCTGAAGGTTAGACAGCTAAATAGTGGGAAGCCAATACTCAAACTTCAAGATGTCTATTCTTGCTGGAGTGCTATTCTGCCTCCTGCTATATTTAATAAATTGTGTTTCATCATTAGAGTTCAGTTCAATTTATCCAGCATTACTGAGCCTCTAACAAGTGCCTGACACATGTTACCAAAAGAAACACAAAATATTCAGGGTAGTGAATCATTCATTATGAAAATTCATTTCACAAATTTTGAAAATTACTTAAAAGTCTTAGTTTCTTGATAGAACATTTGAATTACCAAATATTTAAGCTTTTCAGAATTTAGAAAACATCTATAGCTATTTTCTATAACTTCTGCCCAAAGATTGGCTTGCCACCATGTCTCTTGACTGGAATTTCATAAATTTCTAATTTGTATCACTTGTTTATCGCCTTCAGTTGTTTGAACATTGTCTTATGGTACACCTCATGGCTTTTACATCATAAAACCTGTTAAGCCAAGGCCAAAGTCTATGGCTAGGGTGCCTTTGGATTTTGACACTATGTCTTTCATTTTCTCTAAGATAGTGACAAAACCTTCCATACTATAGGATTGCCTCAAGTTATAATATTTTGTATGATGTTCTGAAACATTTCAGAAGGAGCATATGATACTTTTCATTATTTTTTAATAAGATAAACCTTTGTAGTAAAATACTTTAAAATTTTACAACCTTTCTTCCACAATTATTTTCTTCATGAACAATTTTGAGGTCTAAATTTTATGGGTAACCTATTCCATCTGACTTACAGAAATGAGTTAGAAATTGTCCTGCTATTAGGCTGATAGGTGAGTGAAAACAGTGGAACAAAATATCAGGCAATAAAATATCATTTTTGTAGGCTGTAGCATTAAATCTTTGATAACTGAAAGTCAGCTAGTCAATGTCACTAGAAATAATATTCCACAGGTATTTGAAATATATTATTGAGATATATGTCAGCCAGGGATGTATGTGTTAGAAACATAATGCAGTTGATTGTCCCAGGGTGGAAGAGAAATCAGCACCTGGGAAAATGGGTTGTGTGAAATTAGAAAAGTGGTCAGAAGCAACCTGAGTCAAGTCAAGTGAAGACAAGTCCTGGATGCATATGGAATAAAATTGTGAAAAGTGTTATCCTGTATGTCAACTCAGGTAAACTCAATACACCATTATCAAAGGAAGACCAAATATTTAAGCAGGATATTCAGCAAATATTTCATCAATACTCTTCAACCTGTTATCGAATACATTTTGCAGCAATACCGATGATTATTGATCTATTTTTAGGTTGCTTTAATGATGATGACGAAACCTGTAGTGAGGGTAGGCAGGAGAAATGGGAATGGGAGACAACTTTTTGAATTAGCTAACAGAAGAACAGGAATGGCCTAGCAATTATTTTCTAAAATAAAAGTGTACATTAGTCTTAACTTGGCCTTGGTAATAATGATTATCAATGAAACAACTAACCCTGAAAGATTTCTGTAATGTTTGTGCATTTGCCACATGAATTTTTTATTAACAATAGATAATGTGGCATGACTGGCCTCTCCAGGACTTCAGGAGACAAGTTCTCTGCCAAATGTTTTTGCTCTTGTTGTTTAAAGATGTGGTAATTTTTTCTTCCTTCCCTTCTGGTATGTTTCACTATTGTGTGTGTGCGTGTGTGTGTGTGTGTGCACATGCATGTGCTGATGGAGAATTTATCATGTATGTTATTTACATAGTTGGAGTTATTCATGTCATTTCTGGAACGCTTATCCAAAAAAAACCCACATTAGGCTATATTAATAAATGCAAATGTTTGCATTCTCTTACAACACCTTGCGGGTGACATTTCATTTTGATAATGACAAAATGTTGGATATTATTTTTAAAATTTTTGGAAGTGATAGAGATTTCTACCTAGGCCATCCAGAAATGAGCTGGCATTTGTGACGATATTGATTGCACACCTCAGAGAGATTTGGAAATTCCATACTGTATACCCTAGGAAACACATAGTACTTGGTACTTTGAACACTTCTCATGAACTGATTATTCTAATCCAAAAGAATGCCCACTTTCAAATTATAAATGAGTTTACTTCTAAACATTAGCTTTTTGAAACATGTAAAATGCAGCCAAGGATTATTTTTATTTATTATTATTCATATTTAACTTGTTTTGGAATTGAATATACATAGCCACAAACAATAAAGAAAGCTTCCTTACATAAATAACAATTTAAAAGATAAAAGGACATTTAAAATTTCGTAGATCAGAAACATTTCAAAATTTGTTTTACACAAAATTGCCTGAGAAAAGTCCACTTATAAGTTCCAAAGAATAAGTCCCAGAATGTAAATATATGATACCTATCCAAACATGACCCACTTCCATTTGCTTATTAAATATGAAGCCATTTCATTTTTTACAACCTCAAAATACCAATTTTGTGGAAATATTTTCCATATTTAACCTCACCTATACCTATTCAAGATTTAGTACCCAATATATAACTGGTACAGTATTGAGGATTTTCTATTCATTGTTCCTTATGTTTCAAAAACCATACAAGAAAAATGCTCTCCCATCTAACTTTATGCCTTCCTGGAAGCAAGGATGTGATCGAAGAAACAGCTACTTATTTACCGGTAGTCTGAGGAAGGAAATGGAAGTACCAGCCAGACTTCACTTCAGTTTCCAACTGAATCAAATTTTCGTCTGATAAAGTAAGATCCATACTGAAATTCTACCAGCAAGGAAAAATAGGAGTGTGAATTTTTGGCATTCATCCTGTTTAAGTATGAATTTTGCTCCAAAAAATTAGAGTACAAGAAATTTTATATTACTCTTTTGAACATCACACTTAATCTGTTTTAGCTCTTGGTGTCCTGGCCCAAAGTGGGATCATGAAGAGATCCTGGTCTTATCTGAGGTTGAATATACTAGGTAATGGGTGGGCTATAATCTAAGCCAAGATTTTCTTCTTTTCCTTTCTTTGCTTGCCCTAGTAGGGCAATCAGCTCTTGGCAGATTCAGGGATGCTCTTCCAACATCTCATGTATCCCACTCAGTCTAGCTCCTCTCCAGAGAGATCTGCTCCTCTCCAGCTCTGAGCAAGCCTTCCAGCTTCTAAAGGTGTAAACCTTCCAGAGTAATGCGTCATCTAGGACTCTAGATGCAGGGAGTAAAACGATGTTCCAAAAGCTGAGGAAAAGGCCCTCAGCCTAAGACATTAATTTCTTTTCCAGTTGTTTTACTCCTACTTCTCGCGGTGAGGACGCTTTCTTCCATCAACAAAAACCAGGATGTGTTTTTTTTTTCTTTTCCCCTAGTTTTGAAAACCTTTGCTTTTGCTCTTAACATACACACGTTCTCAAAGAAAGTATTAATGGTTCAGGACATAGAATATAAAGCTGATCTACCTTATTAGGATGGGGTAAAACAAAAAGACATACAGCAATGACACAAAGTGTATATTTGCTTGTTTCAGGTTATTGTCCTGGTAATATTCAATGATTTGTTCATTCACTAAACACTGAGAGATTATCTTCCACATGATGCTAAAAGCTAATGATTCAGTAGTGAACAAGACAGAATTTTCTCAGGACTTATCATCTAGAAGTAGACTTCTACAGCCTAGAAGATTGACAATTGCATAAATAACTCCTGTGTTCTGTGAGAGCATGTGGCACCTGCTTTGTACCTATTCTCAAGATGTAATTCCCAACCCTGAAAACTGAAAAGAAACAATAAGGAAATATATTTTATTTCGTCACTGTGTAAATTGTATATTTCCCTTCACCTTTTACCCCAACTATCGACTTTCAGCATTTGTAGAGAAAGTCACTTTAGGCCCCTTTTTCCTATTGATTCAACCCATCTCAACTAATTTTGCTACTGATTACATTAGAACTCAATGAAACGATCTTTTCAAAACATAAATATAAGATTAGTTGAAATTCTGAGGGAGCAATTTTGATAGAGATGGCCAATTATTAGATTTCAGGTACTGTATATTATCATGTACTTTTTACTTTCCAGTAATTTTATGACAGAAAACATATAGTCACTGAAGAAAAATTTTCTTACAAATTTTCTTCTTGTAATTTCTTTTAAACACTGTAAAAAAGATTAAACATAAGCAAATTGTTTTTAATTTAGCTTATTGGTGGTAATTAAGCTTTTTTCTAAAACTCCTTTAAACATCTTATGTAGATCATTTCTGCTCAGGGAAAGACTCCTGTAGCATCAGAAGAAATACTGTATTGCCAAGACATAGAATATGCAGTTTGTTTTTAGTCTTGAAACATAAAAATTGAAAATATATTTTAAATAAATCTCCTTGCTAATAATTCTTCTTTGCAATCATTGCTTATCTAATAGTGATAATTGAGAATTCTACATTTTATTTGCTGTAGGGTGCTTTAGGGCTACATTTCCTGTAACAGTGAAATCACCAACAAGCATTCAGAGAGCTCCTACTGGGTATAGCACCTCACTGAAGCTGAGGTTTGAAAAAGAATCAGACATTTTTCAATATGCTCAATTGATTAAAGAATAAGAGAGTTTATAAAGGTTTTAATGAATGAGAGAGGATTTACATTTAATTTTAGGTCAAACCGGAAAGATGACAATGAATGTGGTGATATTTTTGTTACTACTTTGGGAGAAAAACTCCTGACGGTGCTGATGTCCAATGAAATGAGACTGGGTTCTGGAAGAATTTGATAAGTAGGTAAGTGAGGTTCTGCAGGCTTAGATTACTGAGTTATTGAGTCAATGCTACTTCTTTATTAAGACTGCTAAAAGAGTGAGAGAATTTAGGCCAGTTCTTTCACATAAATGTCTTAGCTTGATAAAAAGTGAAATTATTGTTTTCAGCTTCATAAATTAGACACATTGAAGAGTTTCCTCCTCTAACTTTACTGTGAGGAATGCAATGACAGATTCTGTGCTGTGTTTGCCTATGAGATGATTTCCTTGAAGTCCCATAATGAGTTGTTTTTGGCAGGATTAATGAGCATTATAATGGTAAATGGATGTTTGCAGCTCAGTTGTGTTCCATCACGGAGTAACATGGGGTTTCTGGTCCCTTGGAGGCCATAATTGGTGGCATTAATGCACTTTTTAATTATACTTCTTGAAAAAAAATGAATTGGAACCAAAACAAAAGCTAAGTGATCATCGCTCTGCTGTTTCACATGGTATAAACAGAAGACTGTTGCTATCTCTGATATCTATAATTGGAATCATATTCTCTAGACAGAACATATGCAGTATATTTTGATGATGATATTTGTTTAGAAACTGCTTATTTGCCTTTGTTTTTGCTCATTCTTGTATGCTGAAATAAACTTTTATTAGATGCATATATAAAACACACATATATAATACAGATCTATATTATACATGAATAAGAAATGCACATGGTATTATAAGATTATACATATTATAAATGTAAGTGAAGGTAAACAGAAAATAGTAGGCTCGCCTCTAATATTTAGACCCCTTCATTTGTTTCCCGATCCTCATTGTGAGTGTTGAGCAATATAAGTATACTTAATTCCTAAATCTCTATGAATGAACTAAATGGTAGTCATTTCTCTTTTTCTCTTTTTCTTTTCTCTTTTTCTTCTTTCACAGGTATCTGTGAAAATTACTAATAGTTACTGCTTCAGCATCTCATCTTTGCAGTATTATGTTTGTTTGTGGTCTGTAGTGGCAAACCCAGTATTTATGTATAGAATAGTATTTGCAAAGTATACTATGGAGAGAAAAGATATCTCATAAAGTGATATAAATACATAAAGAGCAAAATAATTTGAATTTTTTAAAATCTACACTATCAGCCACTTTTTCCTAATCTACTTATAAATTGCCACAACTGGATTGGTTGCAAGTATATTTCCTTCTAGCCACAATACACCTATTCTTTAACTTTTCTATATTTTTAAATAAATCACAGGGTGAAATATTAGACTGTGGGTAACTGATCAGTTAAGGGGATATATGAGCAGTTGAGGTTAACTGATTATGTTACCACTTTCATACCAGTTCTTGCTGAAGCAAGTCACTAAGGAGCCTATTGCCTGTTTTTCCTAGTCTTTATTATAAAGATATCCTTGGTATCTGGGTTATCCTTGAATAATAGTACACGGGAGAGAAATGCATTTGGATCAGTGGCAAACAACTGTATCTGTGAAAAAAAATGTGCGAAAAACTAGATGCTGTGGAATTGCTCCCACATTGACATCCGAGGTTTGGTGAGACTTACACAACCTCACATCTTAGAATTGACACCTTTTGTGAAAAGAAAGCTGCCTTTCTCAATGACATGTCTTTGACACTTACTATCTATGTCATTTTTACTCTTACCATCAGGTGAATTCTTCATTGATAGGCTCAAATGTCTGGTTTCAGGACTTTCTGCAGCCTTATAGCAGTTCCATTTTATCTTTGTAAGGAAACCAAATAAATAAATAAATAAATAAAAAGCAGACAAGTAGGCAAACAAAAAATTCCCTTTCTGGTATTTATAAATAGATATTTCAGAATTAGGTAGTGTGGAGCAGTCTACAATGGCTGCAGATTTTTAATATTGCCTACCAGAGAACGGGGGACCCAGCCCTGGTTTTATGCAGCTCCATTCTCCTTGTGTTCGTGATGATTGAGTGTGCTGAACTTGCTTTGTTTTTTCTTTAGAAGAGTGATGATAGTGATTAATTCAGTTGATGCATCATTGTCCCATCCCCACCACTTTAGTAGTTTCCACAAAATGTCTTAAAATAACTCAACAGCATTTATATATGTGAGAGTTCTGTGTGCTTTTGCATATTATCATTCTATCTATATCTGATGCTGATCTTGTCAGCCATGCCATCTAAAAATACTGAGGAAAAAAAGAGACCAAAATTCATATCAAAATTGAATTTTTAAGTGGGTGTCTAACACCAGATATCTATGTGTCTATACATATAGATGGAGAGATATACACATATATACATATAAATATAATTTTAAAATTCATCTAGAGTACATTAGCAGAGAATATTTTGTCCTCATTAACTTTTTGTGATTTTAAATGATTTCACATAAATTGCATAGCATAACCTCTCAGTTTCATAATAACAATAACAATAAAAAATAATCATTGTTAAGTTCTCTTGAGTTTACTCTGTGCCAAGCACTTTGACATTAATTTTTTCCTCACATGGTCCTTTGGGGTAAATACTAGAATTTTTTTCAGGTTATGGATTAAAAAAAAAAAACAAAACACACACATCTGAAGTTTAGACAGTTTGTGTTACTTCCCTGAGGTTACACATGCCTTAGCAGAGCAGGGACAAGAGCCAGCGCTCTGTGGCTCCAGTCACACTATATGACTTCTAATACGCATAGTTCACTTAACCTCTAAAACGCCCATGGGAAGAGATAGAAATGATAGCAAAACAATAACAAACCCTTGGAGATATTTTTAGTAGCACTGTTCAGTTACAGAAAAGAAAGACACTAACAGGATCTTAAAAATTGTATTACTTAAATGGATCTTAGAGACTACCTAATACATAGAGTTCACTTTCCAAGTGAAGAAATAAATTCTTGAGTTGAAATGGGGTAAGAAGGCAGGACAAGGTTGTAGCCCTCCTTTTTATAGGCTCAGTTCACTAGTGCAGTCCTAGTAGGCCCAAACCCCATTCCTTATGTGGAGATTTGGATGATGTTCATTTCTAAAGACCACTGTGTGTAGAGCAAGGTAGATGTTATGAACGTTAGACTTTGGAGCTGAGCAAATTTGAAGTCTAAATTTAGCTTTCCTATTTATTAGCTGCTTGGCTGTGAGTAAACTGATTCATATAGTTTGTGCTTCAGTTTATTTACGTTTAAAATCAAAAGATCGTTCCTCATAAGGATGTTGTAAAAGTTAAATAATGCATTTGAAGCACTTAGCTAACAACAGTAAGCATTCAACTAAAGTTTACATTATTGGGCTGGGTGCAGTGGCTCACGCCTGTAATCCCAGCACTTTGGGAGGCCGAGATGGGCGGATTTCTTTAGGCCAGAAGTTCAAGATGAACCTTGCTAACCTGGCGAAACCTCATCTCTGCAAAAAACACAAAAAAATAGCTGGGCATGGTGGCACACACCTGTAATCCCAGCTACTCAGGAGGCTGAGGCACAAGAATCACTTGAACCCAGGAAGCGGAGGTTGCAGTGAGCCGAGATCGGGCCACTGCCCTCCAGCCTGGGTGACAGAGTGAGATGCTATTTCAAAAAACAAAAACAAAAACAAAAGTTTGCATTATTATTAAGCACAAGTGAAACCTTCCTTTGGGGTGGTTAGTACACAATAGTTATCATGGTTCAGCTACACCTTGTTTCTAAAGGATACTCTTAAACAGATGTTTGAAAATGAAGGTGAAATCACTTCTGTCTCAACAAACATGATTATCCTACTACAAATAGTGAAGTTTTAAAGTTTAAATTTTGAGTTTTGTTAATATCAGTAGCGTGGTTCCCAAATGCCTCAATACCTTAATGAAGCCTGTGGCTGCTTTGTTGTCAGATGTCGCTTTTGGAAACATTTTAATTGATAGTGAATTTTGAAAAAATAGGAAACATATTTACACATAATTTATCATAGATGAATAAAGTCAAAGTCTTCTAAACAGAATTGATAGGGATTTGAGTTTGAATTCCAGCTCTTCCACTTGTTTGGCCTCAGGCAAGTGCTTACTTGGACTGAATCACAGTTGCACCAGCTGTAAAAATGAAAAAATAACCTATGCCTTGCAGGAATGTTGTGACTATTAAAAATGATATATGCAAAGGGCCTAGGATAAGGCCTAGGACTTAGTAGGCATATAATAAATGATAGCTATTAATGTTGTTAATATTTCTTGTCCAAGTCATGTGTAAATCTTTCATAATAATGCTAATCTGTCACTCATAATTTCAATGTGCAAATAATATACCTATATCTTATAATTTAAATGTGTTATCCTAAAATTTTTAAAAATATAGTTGTAAAACACATATACTATTTGGTGAAATACAAAGATAATTGTTACATTTTAAATGTCATTATTTTGTAGACTAGCATTCAGTATTCATTGTGTTTTTGTAGAAAGAAGGGGAAATTATTTTCAAGGAAGTTAATTATTCTTTCTTTAAAAAATGTGTATACTTTTAACTTTTTACAGGTGAAATACAGGGTGCAGTTAAATGTACCTAGACAATTAATGACTGAAAAAATGAGCAAAATATTTTTAAATAAAGAAAATTTGTTTAATTGATAGAGGAATATTTTTAAAGTGAAGCTGTAAAGTTTTATTTATATTTATTCCTACTTAAAATATCTTAAAAGATTGATTTCCTTAGTGTTATATTCTCCGTTAAGTATATTTAATTTTAAAAGATCAAATTTTAGCATTATCCATTTACTCATAAAAGATTGGTTTATATATAACTTATAATCAAGAAATGCTTGAGAGAAAATGATATTCTATATTTTATTACACATTTAGACTATGTGACTAGAAAAAAATATGTGCATTTCGGCTGATAACTTCAAATTAACTCCTGATATTGTATAGTAAATTTTAAAATAATGAATTTTAGAAGCTAAAATTTTATTTCCCTACAGCCTTTTAAAACATCAGATTTTAAGACATATGAACTTAAAATAGTAATTACATCATACTATTGGAAAGATCTAAGTGTAATGAATATGACCATGGTTTTATATTTTAGTGGAAGAAGTTGCATACTGTTAAATCTCTGAATCTCTACATTAAAAAATATCACTAAGTAGTATTTTGAACATCATGGGTCAAATATATTAAAATAAACCAATTGAATAATGTTTTTTCATTACATCTATTTGAAGTTCTCAAAAACCTTAAATTTTATATACCAGAATACATTTAAAAAGTAAAGCCTGAGTAGTTTTGAGGAATAATCTGAGATCAAAAGTAGAATTTTGTCTTGGGGCTTCATGTCCATGTTGGGAATATAAATGTTATATTGCAGTTTATAAGATATAGAACATGATCAAAGTTATTTTCCTGCTCTCCAAGGGAATGATGGCCTTGAGCATAAGGCCAAACACATCCTGCATAAAGGAAACTTTTGAGTGAATGTTTGTTGAGTGAATATTGAATATGTTTGTACCTAATTGACTGTGAGTAGATGTTATTTTACTATATAAAAAATGAATTGAGTCAATTTGGAACTTTTAGTTAACAATTATAGAAATTAAGATAATCTTTTGCTTGTGTTTATGTTTCCAAAATCAATATTCATATTCTGACAGGCTAGGTAAATTCTACATTATCCCTTTGGTTTTTGTAGCTATCTGATTTTTAAAGCCCTTTAAAAAACATAGATAGATAGATAGATAGATAGATAGATAGATAGATACATACATACATACATACATACATATACATACATACATACATACATACATACATACATACATGTATAGAGAGAGATAGGTAGATTTAATTGGTGTATTTTAGACCCTTGCTACCTTTGAAAAGACTTCTCTCTGAAGGATGAGGTCAGAATATATTTGCTAAAGAACCTGTGTGAAAAGTATTCTCAGAGATTATGCTTTGGGAATCTCAGTTCAAAATGGATGGGAAAAGGGTATAATAACCCACTTAAGATATTGTGTGTGAGCTTAAGGCTATTTTCTAGATATTGTATCCATGACTGTGATATGTTTTGGCTGTGTCCCCACCCAAATCTCATCTTGAATTGTGTTCCCATAATTCCACATGTCGTGGGAGGGACCCAGTAGGAGGTAATTTAATCATAGGGGGAGTTACTCTCATGCTGTTCTTGTGATAGTGAGTTCTCATGAGATCTCATGGTTTTATAAGGGGCTTTCCCCACTTTTGCTTGGCATTTCTCTTTGCTGCTGCCGTGTGAAGAAGGACATGTTTGCTTCCCCTTTCACCATAATTGTAAGTTTCCTGAGGCCTTCCCAGCCATGATGAACTGTGAGTGAATTAAACCTCTTTCCTTTATAAATTACCCAGTCTCAGGTATGTTTTTATTAGCAGCATTAAAATGGACTAATGAAGACTGAAATGTCTTTTCTTTGAATAATATTTTTTTTTATTATACTTTAAGTTCTAGGGTACATGTGCACAACGTGCAGGTTTGTTACATATGTATACATGTGCCATGCTGGTGAGCTGCACCCATTAACTCGTCATTTACATTAGGTATATCTCCTAATGCTATCCCTCCCCCCGCCCTCCACCACACAACAGGCCCCGATGTGTGATGTTCTCCTTCCTGTGTCCAAGTGTTCCCATTGTTCAATTCCCACCTATGAGTGAGAACATGTGGTGTTTGGTTTTTTGTCCTTGCGATAGTTTGCTGAGAATGATGATTTCCAGCTTCATCCATGTCCCTACAAATGACATGAACTCATCATTTTTTATGGGTGCATAGTGTTCCATGGTGTATATGTGCCACATTTTCTTAATCCAGTCTATCATTGATGGACATTTGGGTTGGTTCCAAGTCTTTGCTATTGTGAATAGTGCCACAGTAAACATACGTGTGCATGTGTCTTTATAGCAGCATGATTTATAATCCTTTGGGTATATACCCAGTAATGGGATGGCTGGGTCAAATGGTATTTCTAGTTCTAGATCCTTGAGGAATCGCCACACTGTCTTACACAATGGTCGAACTAGTTTACAGTCCCACCAACAGTGTAAAAGTGTTCCTATTTCTCCACTCCAGCACCTGTTGTTTCCTGACTTTTTAATGATTGCCATTCTAACTGGTGTGAGATGGGATCTCATTGTGGTTTTCATTTACATTTCTCTGATGGCCAGTGATGATGAGCATTTTTTCATGTGTCTGTTGGCTATATAAATGTCTTCTTTTGAGAAGTGTCTGTTCATAACCTTCACCCACTTGTTAATGGGGTTGTTTGTTTTTTTCTTGTAAGTTTGTTTGAGTTCTTTGTAGATTCTGGATATTAGCCCTTTGTCAGATGAGTAGATTGCAAAAATTTTTCTCCCATTCTGTAGGTTGCCTTTTCACTCTCATGGTAGTGTCTTTTGCTGCGCAGAAGCTGTTTAGTTTAATTAGATCCCATTTGCCAATTTTGGCTTTTGTTGCCATTGCTTTTGGTGTTTTAGTCATGAAGTCCTTGCCCATGCCTACGTCCTGAATGGTATTGCCTAGGTTTTCTTCTAGGGTTTTTATGGTTTTAGGTCTAACATTTAAGTCTTTAATCCATCTTGAATTAATTTTTGTATAAGGTGTAAGGAAGGGATCCAGTTTCAGCTTTCTACATATGGCTAGTCAGTTTTCCCAGCACCATTTATTAAATAGGGAATCGTTTCCCCATTTCTTGTTTTTGTCAGGTTTATCAAAGATCAGATGGTTGTAGATATGTGTTATTATTTCTGAGGGCTCCGTTCTGTTCCATTGGTCTATATCTCTGTTTTTGTACCAGTACCATGCTGTTTTGGTTACTGTAGCCTTGTAGTATAGTTTGAAGTCAAGTAGCATGATGCCTCCAGCTTTGTTCTTTTGGCTTAGGATTGACTTTTCAATGCGGGCTCTTTTTTGGTTCCATATGAACTTTAAAGTAGTTTTTTCCAATTCTGTGAAGAAAGTCATTGGTACCTTGATGGGGATGGCATTGAATCTATAAATTACCTTGGGCAGTATGGCCATTTTCATGACATTGATTCTTCCTATACATAAGCATGGAATATTCTTCCATTTATTTGTGTCCTCTTTTATTTCATTGAGCAGTGGTTTGTAGTTCTCCTTGAAGAGGTCCTTCACATCCCTTGTAAGTTGGATTCCTAAGTATTTTATTTTCTTTGAAGCAATTGTGAATGGGAGTTCACTCATGATTTGGCTCTCAGTTTGTCTGTTATTGGTGTATAAGAATGCTTGTGATTTTTGCACATTGATTTTGTATCCTGAGACTTTGCTGAAGTTGTTTGTCAGATTAAGTAGATTTTGGGCTGGGACAATGGGGTTTTCTAGCTATACAATCATGTCATCTGCAAACAGGGAAAATTTGACTTCCTCTTTTCCTAATTGAATACCCTTTATTTCTTTCTCCTGCCTGATTTTCCTGGCCAGAACTTCCAACACTATGTTGAATAGGAGTGGTGAGAGAGGGCATCCCTGTCTTGTGCCAGTTTTCAAAGGGAATGCTTCCAGTTTTTGCCCATTCAATATGATATTGGCTGTGGGTTTGTAATAAATAGCTCTTATTATTTTGAGATACATCCCATCAATACCTAATTTATTGAGAGTTTTTAGCATGAAGGGCTGTTGAATTTTGTCAAAGGTCTTTTCTGCATCTATTGAGATAATCATGTGGTTTTTGTCTTTGGTTCTGTGTATATGCTGGATTGTGTTTATTGATTTGCGTATGTTGAACCAGCCTTGCATCCCAGGAATGAAGCCCACTTGATCAAGGTGGATAAGCTTTTTGATGTGCTGCTGGATTCAATTTGCACCTCTGGGGTCAGGGCATAGCCGAACAAAAGGCAGCAGCAACATTTGCAGACTTAAATATGTCCCTGTCTGACAGCTTTGAAGAGAGTAGTGGTTGTCCCAGCACTGAGCTGAAAAACATGGCACGAGAAATACGTGACTAATGCACAAGCTTCAGTAGCCGATTTGATCAACTGGAATAAGGGGTATCAGTGATTGAAGATCAAATGAATGAAATGAAGCGAGAAGAGAAGTTTAGAGAAAAAAGAGTAAAAAAGAAACAAACAAAGCCTCCAAGAAATATGGACTATGTGAAAAGACCAAATGTATGTCTGATTGGTGTACCTGAAAGTGACAGGAGAATGGAACCAAGTTGGAAAACACTCTGCAGGATATTATCCAGGAGAACTTCCCCAACCTAGCAAGGCAGGCCAACATTCAAATTCAGGAAATACATAGAATGCCACAAAGATACTCCTCGAGAAGAACAACTCCAAGACACATAATTGTCAGATTCACCAAAGTTGAAACGAAGGAAAAAATGTTAAGGGCAGCCAGAGAGAAAGGTCGGGTTACCCACAAAGAGAAGCCCATCAGACTAACAGCGGATCTCTCGGCAGAAACTCTACAAGCCAAAAGAGTGTGAGGGCCAATATTCAACCTTCTTAAAGAAAAGAATTTTCAACCTAGAATTTCATATCCAGCCAAACTAAGCTTCATAAGTGAATGGGAAATAAAATTCTTTACAGACAAGCAAATGTTGAGAGACTTTGTCACCACCAGGCCTGCCCTACAAGAGCTCTTGAAGGAAGCACTAAACATGGAAAGGAACAACCAGTACCAGCCGCTGCAAAAACATGCCAAACTGTAAAGACCATCGATGCTAGGAAGAAACTGCATCAACTAACGAGCAAAATAACCAGCTAACGTCATAATGACAGGATCAAATTCACACATAACGATATTAACCTTAAATGTAAATGGGCTAAATGCTCCAATTAAAAGACACAGACTGGCAAATTGGATAAAGAGTCAAGACCCATCAGTGTGCTGTATTCAGGAGACCCACCTCACGTGCAGAGACACACATAGGCTCAAAATATTGTTTTCTTCTGGCTAAATAGATTGTTTTTCTCCTTCCTCTATAAGCACTCAGACAATCAAGAGAAAGGAAACATTTCTCAATCTCTCAGATAGTTTAGGTTACTTTTATGCCCTAAGAAAAGCCTATCCACTTTCATCTTTTCTTTTTGGTAAGACACTTTATTTTTTTTTTGAGACAGAGTCTCGTTGTATCACCCAGGCTGGAGTGCAGTGGCGCTATCTCGGCTCACTGCAAACTTCACCTCCCAGGTTCACACCAGTCTCCTGCCTCAGCCTCCTGAGTAGCTGGGACTACAGGCGCTGCCACCACGCCCAGCTAATTTTTTTGTATTTTTAGTAGAGAGGGTGTTTCACCGTGTTAGCCAGGATGGTCTTGATCTCCTGACCTCATGATCTGCCTGCCTCAGCCTCCCAAAGTGCTGGGATTATAGGCGTGAGCCACCACACCCGGCCTGGTAAGACACTTTCTATTGATCCTGTATTAAAGAAAATAAACACCTGTGTACTTCATTTATCTTTTGTATTTTTCATTTAGTTCGTGCATTCTCATGATTTTTCACTATTCGGTTTATTGTTTCTTTTTAAAATTTTTATTTTAGGTTCAAGGTTATATGTTCAGGCTTTTTATATAGATAAACTGTGTGTGACAAGGGTTTGGTGTGCAGATAATTATGTCACCCGAGTAATAAGCATAATACTTGAAAGGTATTTTTTCGTATCCTCTCCCTCCTCCCACCCTTCACCCTCAAGTAGACTCCAGTGTCTGTTGTTATCCTCATTGTGTCCATGTGTTCTTGTTGGTTAGCTCTCACTTCCACATAAGAACATGCAGTATTTGATTTTGTATTCCTTAGTTTGCTTAGGATAATGCCTTCCAGGTCTACCCATGTTCCTGCAAGGGACATGATCTTGTTTTTTTTTAATGGCTAAATAGTATTCCATGGTGTATATGTATCACATTTTCTTTATCCAGTCTACTGTTGATGGGCATTTTGGTTGATTCCACTCTTCAATTTATTATCCTGTTCTCCCTCCTCTCTGTTAGGGAAGTTGGGTCCTGGCAGATAAAATCAAGAGTAATATGGCTGGGCATAGTGGCTCATGCCTCTAATCCCAGTGCTTTGGGAAGTTCAGGCTGGAAGACCGCATGGGGCCAGGACTTTGAGACTAGCCTGGGCAACACAATGAGAACCTGTCTCTACAAAAAATTAAAAACATTAGCTGGGCATGGTGGTGTTCACCTGTTCCAGCTACTCAGGGGATAGAGGCAAGAGAATTGCTTCAGCCCAAGAGGTTGAGCCATGATCATGTTACTGTACTCCAGCCTAGGCAACAAAGCAAAATCCTATCAAAAAAAAATAAAATGAGAGAGAGAGAATAATCTGAATAATCTGCTTTTTCTTCTTGGCACTTGATTATTATTCAGAGCTCTAGTGTATGGGAAACAATCGGTTATCTGATAAGGTTTATAAATTGAAACTTAAATTTTTAAAAATGGGTTTATGTAGTAGATAAACAGATCTGACACCATCTATTAACTAATGGCCGTATTTATGAATCAATTAAGTTAAACATAACCAGCAGTGTGTGGTACAGGTTCTAATTCCTTCCTTTTAACTCTCCTTATACAATGAATTATGCTTGGATTTCTCAGTAGACTTCTTCTAGCCATTTTCTCACATGTAGTGGAGGAAGTGTACGGATGACTTTTTTTCTGTGTTCCATTTTTAGCAATTCAAGGCCTTTGCTGCTTTCATTGCTAGATCTTCACCTTTTTTCACTTTTCCCTGCACAGTTTCTCCTTCTGGCAGTGGCACACTAAAAGTTCTGCTCTCCATCACTTTCTCTCTCAGAGACTACTGTTTCTGGGCTCCTTTTGTGTCTTTTGCTTTCCTTGTGGTTGCTGCATGCTCCTGCTCTGTGTTTCCCATTTCTCTATTCCAGCTTGTGTGCTCTGCGGCTGACCGTATTTTAAGGAGGCTTATTTACTTAAAGATCCCACCACGCCCAACCAGTCACCGAGGCCACGGAGTTTGCTAGTTGCATTTTTCATACCCTCTGCCTGATTGGGCCATTTTATTTTCTTTTGAATGTTGCCATTAACCACTATTTTGAAAGGAAGAGGCTGACTTTCCAGGATAGTGTCACCATTAAGATAGAAATGAAATTTTATTTTTTCTAGGATGATGTCATTTTTCTCCCCTTAATAAGACTAGATGACACCCCAAGCCCCTAGATGTAGTCAAAGGGAATATTTGTTCCTAAGGTTATAGGAGCTGACCAAAGAGCCTTTATTTAAGCTCTGTGGATAAGAGGGCAGTAATGTGACTTGCTGTGCACCCCCAGTTAGCAACTGTCTAGTATAAAATCCAAGATTTTTTAGGCACTAAAAATTTCAGCATCTGGTGGTGCTACATGTGGCTGCTATAAACTTGATTAATGGATACTGCAGTATGAGTGCTTGCTTTATGCTTTAGTGTCCTTCCCCAGAATGGTTGTCATATCAAGCAACAGTTCCCTAACCTTCCAATTATGACAAATTCTTATTTTATGAAAAATTTTCCATTCCAATGTAGCATTTCTCTCCTTTTTCTTTTTTTTGAATATATTCCTCACTTTTTCATTTTTTCATATAAGTAAAACAAATAAAAAATATACAAACAAACAAGTGATTTTGGGGAATAAAATTGCCTTTAACTTCCACATAAATATATCCTCCAAAAAAATTCATTCAATAAATATTGACTGTCCCTTACTTGCCAAATATTATTCCTAATATAAGATAAAAAATATTGATAAGATTTCAGTATTTTGGTAATAATGATAATGTCTTAGATGAAGTGAGATAGACAACACACAAGAAAATAAATGCATTAATAAGATACCATGGTGATGGAATGAGACAATGGCATAAGGGTAATGGAGGAGTGCTAATTTAGATTCAGTAGTCAGGGAATATTCACTGCAGAGATATTAGAGCTGACATCCAAATGACAAAAATCAGGCCTAAGAAAGGCCTGGTGGCACGAGGTTCAGTGCAAAGACCCAACGGTGAGAATGAGCTTGGAGAGTTTAAGGAACATAAAGAAGGCCAGAGTGTCTAGAGCGGTTTGGGAGTTGTGTGGGGTATGAGAGAGCCAGAAACTTGACGGATAACTTAGATAATGGTCGAGTTTGGATTTCATTCCAAATGGTAAAGAAAAGCATTGAGGGGTTTAGGAAGGGGAGTAACAAAAACTGATTTAGGTTTTAAAAAGAATATTCTGAATGCTATAGGAACTATGGACTGCAGAGGTTAGGATTTTGATTGGAAATAAAAATGGCTATTAGGAATTTACTATAGCCATGTAATGAGGGACAATGGAAATTTGAACTATAGAAGTAGCAATGGAAATGAGAACTGGACAGATTCTGGACACGTTTTCGGGATAGAGACAACAGATTTTGTTCATTGGTTGTCTATGGGGCACAGTAATGGGTAGTGAAGGAAGAGAAACATCAGGTATGATTCCTAGAATTTTGGCTTAACCCACTAGGTGGAGAATAGTACTGTTTCCTCAGATAGGGAAGCATAGGTAAGAACTACTTTTACATTTTTTTTTTTATTTTTATTTTTTGAGACGGAGTCTTACTCTGTCTCCAAGGCTGGAGTGCAGTGATGCAATCTTGGCTCACTGCAACCTCTGCCTCGTGGGTTCAAGCGATTCTCCTGCCTCAGCCTCCCAAGTAGCTGGGATTACAGGTGCCCACAACCACTCCTGGTGAATTTTTTTTGTATTTTTAGTAGAAATGGGGTTTCATCATGTTGGCCAGGCTGGTCTTGAACTTGAACTCCTGACCTCAGGTGATCCACCCACCTCAACCTCCCAGAGTGCTGGGATTACAGGTGTGAGCCACCACCCCCGGCCAGTAAGAACTACTATTAATAAAATAAGTTTTGGATATTCAAGTTTAGCGTTCAATAGCAAAGCCTGTGATACACATATAAAATTGGAAATTAATGGCATATAAAGGATATTTAATGCTTAAATTGTTAAAAGGGGAGGGAATTAGGCATTAACAGAGATTATGCTAAGCAAGGAACATACTTCTAGCCTCAAGCCTGCTAAGAATTATCTTTTACTAAAATCAGTTTAAAAATAATTCATTTCGAAATCATACAATAGGTATATCTTCAACTTTTTAAGGAACTGTCAAGCTGTTTTCCAAAGAGGGTATACCATTTTACACTCCTACTGGTAGTTTATGGGAGCTTCTAATTTCTCTACATCCTTGCCAAGACTTGGTATAGCCTTTTATATTAGTTTTAGCCATTTCAATAGGTGGGATCACATTGTGCTTTAAATTTACTTTTCCCTAATGACTAATGATTTTGACTATCTTCCTATATGTCCTTATATACTACCTGTATGTCTTCTTTGGTAATGTCTTCAAATCTTTTACCTATTTATAATAGTTTTTTTGTTTCCTTATTACTGGATTTTGAGAGTTCTTTATATGTTCTGGATAAAAGTCTTTTATCAAATATATGCTTAGCAAATATTTTCTCTCAATCTGCGTCTTTTTGTTCTCTCAACAATATTAAGAGAAAAGATGCTATGTTTATAGCAGCTTTCTTTGTAATAACTCATACTGGAAACAACACAAATGTCCATCAGCTGGTGAACATGTTTTTAAAAAGTGTGATATTTTCTTACAATGGAACACTAACTCAGCATTGACAAAAACTGAACTATAGATATATGCAAATACCATGGACTAATTTCAAAATATTAATCATTGTTTTGAATGAAAGAAGTCAGACAAAAAAAGACACACCGTATGATTTCACTTATATAAAGTTATAGAAAGTACAGACTAATCTACAGTGACAGAAATACATCAGTAGGGAAGAGAGAAATATGAGGGAGGGATAACAAAGGAGCACAAGAAAACTTTCAGGTGTGATGAATGCACTCATTATTTTGATTATGGTGGTAGTTTCAAGGGTGTATGCATATGTAAAGTCTTATGAAATTCTACACTTCAAATGTGTTGTTTGTTGTATGCCAATCATACCTTAGTAAAAAAAATAAGAGAATAGAAAATATTTTAAATTTCTAATTTTAGTAGATACTATCACTGGCACTATTGAAATAATCTAAAATACTTAAGATAGTATATATCTAACTAGTTATTTCTACAAAAATAACTTAATTGTGCTGGTATTGGGGGATCAAGTATTTTAAGGTTTTTTTTTTTTTCAATTTATGGTTATGTTACCAGGGTTTCCCTATACACCGCCATACATTCCCATGTATGAAATATTGAACAATATGATAATAGAAGTCTTCTATAGAATGTAGTTTCTACACTGATCTATTTAATTGCTTACTAAAAATTCCATAAAAGAAAAATAGTTAATAGAAGGGGCAGGATATAAAGGAAGAGACTACTTCATAGTATCTAAATGAATAAGAGATGTCTCTTGATCTTAAGAATCTAAATATAAAAGATGAAAGACAAGAGGACATTAACATTTATTCCCTTTTTATTCTGTCTGCCAGGAAGCTCGGAACCAGATTTTAAGTTCAGTCACAGCATATTTATTACTATGATGATGATGTTTAAATTTCCATATTGTCCTCAGGCATTTTTTTTTTTGCTACTTATATTCTTTGTTTTTATATAAGAAAGAGAAAATCTACCAAAAATAAAGTGAAAAATCTTTTAAGTGTCCCAATAGATAAACAAAACCCCATTTATAAAAGAAAGAATTAAATGAGTTCTTATGGAAATTTCACTAAATGAATTTATTGTATAGATTTACCTTGATTCCTTAAGATAAATCCTTGTAGCTTGGTAAATTGATATAGTTGCTAACTTATTTAATGATCGCTGGTAAAGTATATGACTTATTACCAAACAGATAAAGATAAAAAATATAAATTTCACCAAGACATATTAAATACCTACTGGTAACACTTATTACCAAACAGATAAAGATAAAAAATATAAATTTCACCAAGGCATATTAAATACCTACTGGTAAGAATTGCAAATGTTCATTTTGTCTATTTTATACCTAAGAAATTGAAGATGAGTGCTTATCCTATACCAAACTAAATAGGTTGAACCACTTATAATTGTGATATTCAACCATTTTTGGACTACAAAAACAGTGATTTCATGTGGTTCAGCCTAATATTAATTAGTGGCGAGCCCAGGTCTCCTGATTTTCAAGTCTGTAATATTTCATCAAACCATGCTAGTATTTCACAGATTTCCTCATTATTAAAGTCAGAGGATCCACTAATGAATTCTGGCCTTGGGACCCTGAGGTTTCCTATTGTGGCTGACAGCAAAAGAACCACAACAATTAAGCACATTGTTTTTGGGTAACTGCCTGAGCAGCTGTAGTAAAATAAATTTCAGTAGAATGTATTTTTGAAAGTTTCTGACTAGACATAAATAAATAGTAATATTGAAACTGTTTACTGTCTTTCAAAATGCTGTCATTAACTCATAATTTAAAGCACCCCAATATTTGAAAGACAGATGTATAAATGTTTATAGATAGAATATAAGAATGTATCCAATTCAACATCACTATACTAGTAGCCTTTACATGCAGCCTCAGTACACATAACAAAGTCAAGTATATACATGTTCTTCTCCATTCAGGGGAGGGGGCAATGTTATTGCACAAATTCAAGTTAAATTGACTGTGCATATCTTACAGTGGACAGAGACTGAGTGACCTTCTCTCCTCAGGTGATGAAACCCATATAATTTTACTTTAGCCTCTGATAATAGGAGTTATCTTTTCTTCATATTAGCAGTATTGTTTATTTTATTCAGTGGATGTTGCAAATTTAGCGTCTTTTAAACATACATATCAACCACAATAAAATAGTCTCTTGTATTCAAGTATGATTCTTTTCTATGTGGGACCCCAACTGAGTGGTGAATCCCCATTAAAAATGTCCTTCTAAATGACTATAATGACAGGGGAGTTGAATAGTCAGTGAAATTTTCTATTATTTTATTTTATGTGTATTTTCATTAATAATTTATTGATATAAAAGATAAGAATGTTTTACCTCCACAAATTTGTATCTGTAATTTGTTCTCAGAACACAGACATATTGAAGATGCCACTCGGCAGTACTGATTGAATATTTATTTAAACAAATATCAGTATAACCCAACTAGCTGGAAAATCCATGAGTTTGGTTTTGATAGCAGAGCATTTCTCAACAATTTATGTGTGCATGCAAATTTTGTGCTTTGGATATAGGCTAAAGTATTTGCTTTATATGTATTATTTTGTTTGAATACAAGAAAGCTGGTTTGATTTGTATGTTTCCCCCTTATAGAATTGTTCCAAGGCTCTGTCAGAGATCACGTAGAGTAATTTTTCCCATCAATCTTTGCTGTGCAGCCATGCACGAATGCAGTAGGAAAAAGGGGGCAGAAATCAAATCACTTAATTGCAGCATTTTTCATCTACATCTTTTGTTTTATGGTGGTAAAGGCCCCGGAGTAGCCTACCATGATTCATGGCTGTCACTGCTGCCGTTAGCAGTTCAATCCTTCATTCTAGGCATTTTGGTACTGAAAGTACCTACACAATTACTTTGATGAATATGACTTGTTTGTTTTTTCCCCATTTTTAGCAGAGAGTGGCTGTGCTTAATACAGACATTTAAATAAGATAGTATTCACGCCTACTGCATCTGCGCTGTATTTCAAAAGTTGTGTGTCGAGTTTAACGATAATATTGCCATTGTCACCCAGGTACTTAAGTTTGCTGGGCTTACGGGCTTTTACCTCCCATTTTTATGTTTATATAATGGAAAAGCCTTAAAATAACCCCCTCTCCATATAAAAGGATTAACTCACCTTTAAAGATCTATGAGGCTGTGACAGATTCTCACCAAATCTCATTTAAAAAAAAAAACTCATTTCATGAGTGTGGCATTACAAAGCCAGCAAACTAGTCTGCCTCTGCATTTATGCCTAGTTGATCGTAAAATAATAACATTTTTGGAAATATATGCATGCATCTTAGAAAGTGACTTACAGTATTTGCATATTTGGAGAAAATGTCAGTGATGTCAGCAGGGGTTCTGAGAGTAGCTAAATGAGCAAGCTTTTCAAAAATTGCTGTTTTATCAACTCTGCACTGTCAGCACAAAATGCAACCTCTCTAAGAAAGAGACAAGAAAAAGGCAAGTGATTTAATTTCTTCATTAGCTTACTTGCAACTGAATTACTGGTACACCTAGCAGCAGAGAGCTGTGTGCTATAAGCTTGAGGAAAACCATTTAACACCCCTTTCTGCCCTCACGACAAAATGTGTTGAAGTGTTGAGACTCCACCCCCTTCTCCAAAAATGAAAGGAAATTAAAGTTCTCCAGATACTGAAGAAATGGCAATTTGTCACCACTTTCTCTACTCTGGTACTGTGGTTGAAACTCACATTTTTTATTTGATGATCTTTCTAGTTCATTCTTTTCATTTCTTTGTTTACTTTTGGTGGCAAACTCTAAATATATGATTTGCATAATACTTTGTGCTTAATAAACATGTATACAGCTTAGGGATAGAACATGTTTATTATTTCCCAGCAATGGTAACAGTGCTCATTGTATTAGTCAAACCAAATTAGTAAAACTGTTCACTAGATATTTGAAAAAAAAAAAAAACAACAGTTCATATGTAACAATGGATAAACCTTAGAACTAAAACATCCAAATATATCCTTAAAATGATGACAATTAAAATTAACCTGATTTCAAACCTCGAGTGCAATTATATTTTAAATTTACTAAATATGTACTCAGAGTGTGTTTACAACTTGTTTCTTTGTCATGTCATAACATGGCCTACCTAAATTTCAAACCAAGGAAAGATAAAGATATTCTTCTCTTCAATAACGTTCATATAGAAAAGTTATGGAGTGCAAGAATTTTAATTTGTTCTATAAAGATTTATCTTTGGGGGCTCTTTTAATATCTATTAAAATGTTTCAACTTTAGGTCAAATGTTTCACATTTCATGATAATTTATCTCTGTGAAAAGTGAATATTTAGATGTTATACTCTTTAGAAATGAAATAAAAATATTTAAACTAAAATATTACATTATTTAAAAAATTAATCATGAAAACAGCAAATTGCTTGTTAGAGTATTACAATGAACTTGTGTCCTAAACTTGGAGTTTAATTACTGATCAGTTAGGGATGCAAGGATGCCAAGTGATTTTAGTGGAGATGGATAGCTTACATTTTAATAGTAATTTAATAGCCAATATTTAAATTTTTTCCTGATAAGTATAAAGTCCCAAAAATGAATATGTTAAGTATACTCCTTAGAAATAGGTAAAGTGCTACTCTGCTCATAACTTCCTTCACAGAGAGCAAACCATCTGATCTTATGTTCTAGCCATAAAAGTAACTGAAAACAGTCTTCTTGAAAGAAATTTGGATTATAATATATAAGGACTTAAGCATGAACAAAAACACAACTCTAATTTCTAAAATTCCGGATGATACTTGCAATAAAATTGTAAAGACTGAAGGAGGGGTCAAAGAGAGAACAATTCATTGACTTCTCTGCTGGACAAGTCAGAGATGCACAGGTAAAGAGTGAAATTGTTTCCAGGTTAGATTCAGCGCACTCTGTTCCTAAGTCTTGACGAAGGGGTTGTGCCACCAGACCCCTTATTTGAGCCTTCCCCAAAGCAAGTGCTCAGAAATAAATAGCAAGGTCAAATTAAGTTCTTGGATGGTAGTTGTCTCAGATTGGATTATTTAAAATCAGACTGAGGCAGAGGTGGGAGATCAACACTTCTGAAAGGAACATGGAGGAACAATCCTATTGGGCGGAGGGAATTGAATGGCAGCAAAAGCTTGGGACAAAGCATCAGCAAACCTGGAGCAGTGCACAGCAGCAAGGCTGCTTGTCAAAGGGTTGTGCATTGGGTCAGAATGCTGAGGCCTCTGGCTCAGACAACAGATGGGAGCTGCCCTGGAGCTGAAAGCTGGGGGTGAGTGCTGGATGCACTTTCTGCAGCTGGGCAGCACACACTCCCTTACAGGGGGATCTTGAGGTAGGCATCTCAGTGCCTACCACAGTAGTTAACAAAATTAAACACATTTTTTCCTAGTAAACTTTGTAGAGCCTTTGATATGTATTAGAATATTAATCCATTGTAAAACTTCAAGAGAGGTTGTATTGTACAGTGTTATCAAAAGTGTTTGACCTCAGAATCTCTCTGTATATTTTTTACTAAGTATCTCACAGAACTAGTGTTCTGTGGATCCTACTTTGGTATCCTCTTCTCTTGTTTGTAGCTTCTGATTGCTGCATTTTCTAAATTCATCTTTTTTCCCTTCCTCCTCCTTCTCCTCCTCCTGCTTCTCATCTACATGCCCTGATTTATGAAGCAGTGTCACTCATAATGCTTATTGCTCAATAAGCAAAGATTTTAAATTACACAATATACATTAGGAAACTTCTGTGGTAACATTTATTGATTAAGAATTTCAGGAATGATTGGAAAAAGCTTTGGAATAGGAACACAGATAACGAATGCGTGGTGCCAAAACAATCACTTGCTAGGAAAAAAATCTGAAAGATGTATTATCCTTAGTAACATCAACCCAAGATTTGGCTGAATAGTTTTCTACAAAACTAACTGTTTTGGTGTGACATACACAAAACTCAGAGAGACTCTTTACATAATTATTCAAAGAATTGCATGGAATTTAAATTAACCATTAAATAATTGAAATGGCCATTTGGAAAACAAATGCCATGCTATTCTTTGTAAGTATATAAATGTAAAATGCTAAAGTATAAACAGAAGTGAGTGTATACCTACTGCTGACAACAGTTCACCAATATTCTTGTTATTTAAAAATATAATATTCCTGCCTTGGTTATGAAATAAGTCTATGAAGGATAATAAATGAATTTACAGTTATGTTAATGTGCAATGTAAATTATGTATATTATGTATGCTATTCTCAGATTACAAAAATCAGCTTTATAATATTTAAAACCCTAATGTATTAAAGTTTTAAAGATACTTTTTTAGGGAAATTTCTGGTTCTCTTTCTTTCTTTTATTTCGCTCCTCACTGCTCTTGGTATGTTTTACATTTGAAAAAAAAAAAAGATGTGAAATTAGAGGAAGCATATGAATTAGAAACTCATGGGAAAGCTAATGTTTCCTTTTCTGTGGATTCAACAAAACCTTACATTCAATCAATTACTTAAATCATGATTATGTAATATGTGGTGCTAAAATACAGGTTCTAGATAAGATATTATTTTATCTGGGGGAGGAATTTTAGACCTGTTAAGGAAATAACATCTTTTTTCAATAACTGAATATTGAATAATAAGCGAATGTCCTAATTTAATTTTTGTGAAATAATGGGGTTAGTTTATCATAGAGCTCAAAGCACCCAGTATTATCAAAATTTTCAATATTTTACTATGGCTATCTTCATTTTTCCATCTGTAAGGAATGTTAGGGATTATAGCACTTACGCTTAAAATTGTGTTCCACTTAATTAAATCTGCATTTGGAAATTTCTCCTGTTAGATGACCCTCATGTATTTGGGATGCCAGGCAGGTGGAGGCTCTGCTTGAACCTGTCTGGACTGGTCGCTCAGGGGAGCTATGTCCCTGAAGGAAATACCTGATAGCAACACAGCCACATTCATAACGTAGAAACCTCCTTATAATTTCATTCAACCCCCCTAAAATTCTAATTGGAGACTAAGAGTTTGAAAAAATTGTATTGTTTTATTTCCTGAGCTGGGATCAATAGAATTCTCTCAGTGGCATTTTCATTGCAGGATGGAGAGCTTGAAGCAGACACTGCCTTGATTGTATCTAGAATGGCAATTGGAAATAGATTTGTTTTTCCTTCCTTCTCCATACAGTCAATCTTCATGTTTGGGTTCAGTTTTCCAATACCAGAAATGCAGCAACATTGTACACACAGTTCAATATCTGGTTATGATAATAAAACACACACACACAAACTAACAAAAACCCACCATCATGTTTGATAAAGTTTAAAATATCATTCAGGATGCTTTTCTTGTGTGTAAGATGGTCTCCCATACTCTACATTCTAATTAAGTAGAGCAGTAAATCAAAGCATGCTGGATGTTTTGTGAGGAACAGCTGGATTAAAATGTGCTTGAGAATAGGGGCTAGTAGTGTCTTGTATGTGTTTTGGCAGGCTGCCTGCCTTGGTACAGCTACAGAGTGCTGGAATGCTTGATAATTTCAGGGCAAGTTAGTTTTCCATGGCTTACAACCTGCTTAATGCAGGGAAGAAAGCTTGTAGCTGTTTTGCCATCTCATCAGGATGGGATATGGAATAATCACAGTGGTTACCTAACAGTGATGGAAAGCCTGAGCAGTGAGGGAAAAGGGGACTGCAAATCTGACTGAACATGGGCATTTCAGGTTTGGAAATATGTGCTACCTACTAAAATGAGCTATCGACTAATTCAGGAAGAAATGTTATATGGGCTTAATGTTCATCTTCATCCACACTATAATGAGAAGGATTAGACTGGCTTCCATATGTGGAATATTTATTTCAGCAATACAAGAAAATGTATTTCCCTAATATTTTTTTTCTGTATGCACAAGGCCCTAAATTTTACAGATGTGATTAATGTTTTAATTTGCTGTTCTAGTTGGATACAAGTTTACCCTACAATATAAATTACTTACAAAGAAATTTGCTTATATGGAGCTTAATTCATAAGCTGTTTAACCACCTTGTGTGGTATCGCTGCTATTTCTCTATGGGGCTCTGCAGCTATGCAGCTTATTTTAAAAATAAAAGCTATCAAATATTTTGAAATCATTTATATTAAGTTTTTATGAAAAAATAACATAATGATTGTCATTTAGTTGGAATTCAAAACAAAAACAAAAACAGAAAACAAAAACCAACCTTAACAATTACACTGTGGCAACCTTGCTAAAAATTCTGAATAAGGCACATATATTAATTTGATATGTTTAATTTTCACCTTTCAGTTCTCTTGTTACTTAGTCATCTAGTATTATTTGGTATGCATTTTGTGTAGGGTAGATTAAATAAATATTGGTAAATATGATGCAAAACCTAGTTTCTCCCAATTTAATTATGACCTTATTTCTCCCAGAATAAAGAATGCAGTTTTTAGCAATGGAACATCTTGTCAAAATAGCACTGATCCACCCCTTTACCTGTTCTTAACTTGAGCTCAATGGAAAGTCTACTCATGAATTAATTAACATCTGTGAATCTGAGTTTTTTTACCTGTAATAAAGGAGTCATGTCAATATCCCCCTAATCTACATTTTGTTGTGAGGGCACATCACATAACGTGTGTGAAATGCTTTGGAAATTTTACAATCTTATAGAAAGGTTTGTATTTGTTATTATTACTAGTACAAATAAGCTTTTTATTCAAATGCCAAATAAGACCACAGCAGGAAGGGAAATTATCAGAAGAAATATCAGACAATATGGGAGAAACGCACAGATCCAGGTGTTGTGGGGTCTGATGCATATATGATTCTGGCGGGCATCCTCTTAAATAAAAAAGAGTATAACATCGTGCTTACAAAACTATGTTCTAAAGTGAATATTTGTGAATGAGAAAACAAATCACAACAAATGACAGGAGGCTTGGAGATACAGGTCTTTTTCTAGTAAATTGAAACAATTCATTAGAAGTGCTCACAGAGAAATTCTACTTGAATACAGTCTTGCTGCCACTTCTCACCTTGAACCCTCTGCAGCTTCCAGCCATTCCCCTGCCTTCACTTAGTGATTCGAAGGGTTAATCATTAATTTCACCTGGAGTCAGCTTCTGATGGGCACTTATGTTGGTAAACACAATATTGATCTTTGTTAGTTTTACCACTTATTTTTCATAACTCACTCCATGCTTCCTAGGTTGTATAATAATGAAAAGTGCTTAGACCAAAGAATCATAAAAAAAGAGAAAGGTAAACATGTAAAAGAAGTGAAGGAGAGCTGCATAGTATTGAGTAGCTTGAAGATAAGTAATCATATTTTCTCAAACAGCTTAAGGATTAATTTGTAAGCCCCCAAGAAGAGCAGATGCCCATGTCCACTGGTTCTAGGTGTATTCATGTCCAGGTTGTGTGTAAATGTATCCAGAAACACATAGTCATCGCTTGATCCCATTTAAAATAGGACAATTTGTTTACTATATTTGAATAGATAGTCTGGAAAGTAAGTTTCTGAGAAGTTTTTACGCCCTAAAATATTGGAATCCAGAACAGTGTGATGGCTTGCAATGCACTGCACTGTTACTGATTTTCTTAAATATATTTATTTTTCTGGCTTTCTTTCCTCATTTACTGTTTGTTTTTAACAAAGGCTGTTTTGGAAGTTCTCCTTACTACTTAATGAAATGGGAATAGAAATCATAGGGACAATCGAAATTCCGTAAACCCAAAACTATTAGTCACTTATTTAGACATAGCTCTTTCTTCCCTATATTGACAAATGTAGGGAAAATTCCAAAAGTCTCAAGTTAACTAAATATTCCTTGGAAAAATCTCTATCAAGTAGTTGCAAAGGAACATATGAAGCTGGGAATCTATCATTCTGAATAAATTACAGCTTTATAATTAGATTTTTAACTTTTTAGAGTGATGACTATATTACAGATAATCATTGAAAAAATCTGATTATGATGTGTAAGAAGATTAGTGTTCTCTGCATTAATGTACAAAATAGCTGTGATTTTATTGTTTGTTCTTTGACCTCAGAAGAGGGTATGTAGTGTGTAAGAAAGGGAAGAGAGGGAGTTGAGGCACAGATTGGGTGGAGCCAGGTTGCCGTGAAGGCAGGCAGAAATCAGAAGCCAAGGCAGAGAGACTAAAGAACAGTATATTCTAACACAGAAGAGAGATCTTGTTTTCTCTTAGCCTGTGTATAGAGGTCTAGTCATTATAAGCCTGAGCATTATGCCAGTTCCGTATTAACTTGACACACTCTCTAAGAGGGTAAAAAAAAGTGTTGGTGAATAAGAATTTTTATAGAGAAAAGCATAACCCACTAAGAGTGACTTTTATCAAGAAAAGCAGTTATTGAGGAAGAAAATTATTTAGCTTTTGCAATGCTGAAATCATTGAAGATTGAATTGATTTTCTATAGTCTTCTTTATTATATACACTGAACCACGAGTGCCAGAACAAGAGCAAAGCTATATTTTTATGAAAACTTAATAATAATAATAATAACATGTATTGAATACCTATTCTATTCTGGGTATCTTCCTAACACTTTAAATATATTAAAGCATTTAATTCTCAAAACACTTTTTTCTTCATTTTATTGATGACAAAACTGAGGCCCAGAGAAGCTAAGGAAGTTGCCCGAGTTCACAGGCTTGTAAGTAGTAGAAGATGCAGGTTTCAAATCAGACGGTTTAGCTGACGAATCCAAACTCTTCATACATTACCTTGTGAAATACTGAGGACTTAATTCTCCAAACCTCGAGTAGATTACAATAGAGGCCAAATCAAAATATGCAGACCAAATTCAGAAAATATTGAACTGATTATGTTATACCAGTTCTGTTCAGATTTGTTTTCAGGTCCTACGCTTCTCTTTCTAAGCATACAGCTTCTATACATCTAAAAACAAATATTGAAAAACATATTAGGTTGGTGAAAGAGTAATTGCAGTGTTTGCCTTTACTTTCAATGCTTCATACTGCTGAAAGACTGACTCGTATGTCCTTGCCTAATTCTATGTTTACTGACATCCTTGATAACTACTCACTTTTGTTCTTTAAAATTATTTGCTGACCGCACATTTTAACAAGAATTTAAAACAACTTGTACAACCTAAATTTTAGCAAGAAATTAACACAACCTAAATATATAAATGTAATGGTTTTGTAGAAACATAAGGCTAGGGTTCCAGAATTTGTGCATATAAGATCCATATTTTAAACAAAACTATAGGGACTTCACAAATATATTGCAAGCAGAAATTGAAACAGTATCATTTGAATTAAGTCACTATAATTTGTAGTCCCTAAATTCAGTTTTAGCCCACCAATCACATGTTCACAATTAAACCTGTTTCATTTCATCTGATTAGTAAATATTTATTTGGAATCTTTGACATCTTTATATCCTGCCTGGAGAACAAGGATCAGAATAAAAAATAAAGTCTGGTCCTCTGTTTTGTTGAATATTCAGATAATATATAATACTCTATTTTATTTCAAAAAGTTTGTAACCTGATCATTTATATCATCTTCTTTTTAGGATTGAGAAAGACTGAAATGCAAATGGTCCTAGCTAGAGACATGGAAAATTATAAATTGATTTAGAAATGAAAAGAACAGTAAAAAACTTCAATTCATAGTAAATAACTACTCTGTATGTCAATAATAAATTACTAATTTGCTGTGGAATATACAGGTAATCCACAGGAGTGAAGTAGGAGATATGGACCTTTGGATAATAGTATTTGAAAGAATGGTACACATGTGAAGCAGTCTGCAAACAATTCAAAGCAGTATACATAAGTGTGAGATAAGTGAGGAAGAGTTGCTTTGTAGATAGTGTATACATTCTCATAAAGGGATGGTGTCAGTTGCCGTGGGTGTCATGAGCCTATCTCAACCAAATAAAGATTCAGCTGATACTGGGGGGAAGAAAAGTACGCTTACTGATCAATAGAGAGGGAGGAGGAGAGAATTCAAGGTAGAGAAATAGTGAAATAGCAGACCTGATGTCAGCAACTTACAGACTTAAGTGCACATAGGTGGTTGCTATAGCCTGTAGGGGTGCATGTTTAAGCACAATGATATAATTGAAAATAAATAATGCTTCTCTTCAATGAATACAGTTACTTTGTTGCTTTCATTTGAAAATAAAAATACTTTGTTTGAAGAGCTGTACCAGTGCAATTAGTACAATGCAGAGAAATAAATGACTCAAGGTAAAATCTACCATAGTATTTCTATGAAAGCTAAATATTATTTAAAATCTAGCCTAGTGTTGAGGCACTAGTCTTAAATTGCATTGTGACTAAGAGATGTGTTTTATTAACGGAAACTTAAATACAAGAGCTTAATAGGGCTGGAGAAATCAGCAGCAATGTTTTAGTGGATTATAAAAGGATTTAATGATCAGTGACTGATTCCTACTTCCCTTTTCATCAATGATAACATGGCAATGAGATTGCTGCCAGTACTGCTTTCTATAACTTTACTAAGAATCATTTTTTTAAAAAATGGGGAATAGAAAGACAAAATGAGATTAAGATTATTTGTTTGGTTACATAAGCTTTGCCTGATCCTGTTTAGAGTCACTTAGGGGATCTGCAAGTTTTTATTCCAAAGTTATGCTATTTGAAACCCTTCAGTGGCATAAACATTCCATTATATATAAAAGCAGACATATATACAAACTTAACGTGGCAGAAATATATGTTTGCAGCTAACAGAGTGTGCACAGTAAAAGCAGAATGAAATATAATCGAGGTCCAATGCTGACATTGTAAGAAGATTGTGGTCTTCTTAAAAAGCAAAGAAAATGTTTTTCCTTAGAAATCAATTGCAAACAAAGAGATGGGGGGAAGCTCTGTTGTTTTCTCTGGAAATGTGTGTTTAATAATTGTTTAATTTTTTATCTGTAGAAAAGCTACCAAATCAAATTGAATGTATCTTTTGCATTTTGACGATTGTCCAATGAGGCAGATAATTGACTGAATTACCCAGGCTGACCACCCAGAGATCGCCAACATCTCTTATCTCTCCATTGGTAAACTTGCAATGTTCCAGTATCTGGTTCTCAGCCTTTCAGGATCAGCAAATGTGTTTAGGTCAGCACACCAAGAGTTCATAGGTTCCACACAGCTGGATACCCATTTATCACGCTCACAGAGAATGCTACGGTAAACATCAAATGACAATTCATCAATTTACAATGAAAAATACAAATGTTGATCAGTGCAGAATTTTCAAGTTGACCTAACCAAAGCTTGTTCTCTCATTTTAACAACATATTTATACAGGAGGCTGAATTATAGACAGTCTTTGGTTTCCTCCTACAGGTGGCATTTGTTGTGACAGGTTTGGTTAGTTGAAAGACACTCTGGCCTACCTGTTTTGGCATGGTTTCCCTTATACATCACCAATAATATCTAGGATGGTTTTTTAACATTAATTTTCCCTTGGACATTATGTGTGTGTGTGTGTGTGTGTGTATGCACAAATAGATATACATATATACACACACACACATATATATATATACACACTCAGAGACATATATAATTAATACTGTAATATGAGCAGGCTTTAGAGATCCTAATAAATGATGAATCATGTGTTTTATTGGCACATTAATGTGATACAGAAAATATATAATACATTCAACATAGAATGTTTATCCCATATTTAAAAAAACATAGAAATTATTTATTGACATTCACTGAGTAATAACTGAGTAATAATCTTTATTATTATAAGTGGAAGAGAAATGAAATTAGCAATTATGCTAATAGCTAGCTTGCTCACCTTCAACTGAGAATTGCCCCAAATGATATACCAGGTATCCCCTCCACATCTTTTCCTTGATTCAACCTGATCCACTATGTCCACTGTTAATCTGGGGGTAAATGCTTGATCCAAATCTGCCTGATCATAGTCCATTTCCTAGAAAGTTGGGAATTGAAATGGAGCCTCTTTCTTTCTCTGGTGGATAATGCTATAAAATGTAAAACTTGGGAACTGTCAGTGGGCATATGGAAAGTGGAGGTCTATGAAGAGTATGCTAATAACATATAAAAAATTGAAAGGAAATAAATGAAGACAGTGGCCCAGCAGCATTAAAATTTTTAGTTCTCATAGCCTCCAAGGTCTACCAAATCCCTGAGCTTCTTGCAATTGTTTAGATTTTCATTTTGAGTATGAAATCTTTGAGTCAGGAAACCTCCCCTTCTCCACCGACTGCTGTTTTTGTGAAACAAATGAAAGCTTTGTTTCTATTAAGCGGGGCTAAAACAATCTTAAATAATATAAGAAAATTATTTGGGAATGTTGGGATTTATTTTTTACTCAAATAGAATTCAAAGTAACCTATCAAAATAAAAAAATTGTGATAGAAAAATATATTAGAAGTTACATTGCATTTTCTTGATTCATTAAAGGGCCTTAGTGATTAACAATTAGTACAAAAACCATATAAATAATGAGTATTTATATAAATACTCATTATTCATGTCTTTATATTTGTACCCAAGAGAGATGTATATATTTCTCTATATATAGGAATATTAATATTTAATTAAATATTGATTTTTTATTACCCATAATTGAAAACATTGTATTTGTAAGATAATCTCTACTTACTAATAAAAACTTAAAGGAGCTGTTATTGCCAATATTTTCTTATTAGAATCTTAATGAGTAGGGTAGTTTTTTTTTTTGTTTCTTTGTTTACTGATTGTTAAGTAAGCACATTTGCTAGGTGTACACCATTTCCAAAGCATTCTTCTAGATATTGAGGGTGAGCTAGAAATAAAATGAAATGCATAACTTCTAGTAACTTATAGGATAGTTGGTATGCTAGTTCTTTCAAGCTGCTATAACTTGGTAATTTATAAACAGAAGCTTGTTGTTGACAGTTCTGGAGGCTGGGGAGTCCATGATGAAGGTGTCAACAGATTCAGTGTCTGCTGAGGGCTCACTCTGCCTCATGGATAATACCTTTTAGCTGTGTCCTTAAATGGCTGAAGTCAAAGGCCCTCAAACCTCTTTTATAATGGCACTAATGTGATTCATGAGGGCTCTTCCCTCATGACCTAGTTACCGCCAAAAGCCCCACCTCTTAATACTATCATCTTGGAGGTTAAGTTTCATCATATGAATTTTGGGGGGAAACACATTTAGTTCATAGCAGCTGATATGCTTCAATAGATGTAAAAAAATTATATAGTTCAGCTAACTGTTCAGCTAGCAAACAGTTAGCATGCTGTTTGTTAGCATGTTTAAACCATCTAAATCCTCAATAAAACACTGATGAATTTGGAGTGGAGTAAATTGTGGGTGTTCTGCAATACAAGTTTTTGTGTCACTTTGAGTGAAGAGAAAGACATAAATTGATAGTCCGCTGTGTATGTTATACAACAGTATATGTCCATTTGTTTGCTGTTCCAGATGGAGATAGTAAACTAAAGAACCCAGCTCACTTATAAATGCTTTTTCCAACTCAAAGCTGATCAGTAGGCTGCCCTTTCTGCCTAGAACAGTTTTTCCCTACCTGACTTCACCATTCCCCACTCCTTGCCACCTCACCCTTAACTCTTGTCCTAACTCCTGCTCATTCTTCAATTCAAGCTGATGAACTCTCCTTCAGAAAGCCTCCTAAAACTGCCCTAGATGTCTGTCAAGGACAGCCTCTTCCTGCCCCATGCTGGAATGGTCTCACTCACCTTGAAATTTCTGTTTGTTGACTATTCTTCTGTCAATAGACTTTGAATTTCTACAGCATACAGATTATATTCATTTTTGACATACTATTATCAAATTAGCATAGTACATTGATGTGGTTTGGCTGTGTGCTCACCAAAATCTCATCTTGAATTGTAGCTCCCATAATTCCCATGTGTCATGGGAGGGACCTGGTGGGAGGTAATTGAATCATGGGGGCAGGTCTTTCCCATGCTGTTCTCATGATAGTGAGTAAGTCTCGTGAGATCTGATGGTTTTATAAAGAGGAGTTCTCCCGCACATGCTCTCTTGCCTGCTGCCATATAAGACTTGGCTTTGCTCCTCATTCACCTTCCACCATGATTGTGAGGCCTCCCCAGCTATGTGGAACTGTGAGTCTATTAAACCTCTTTCCTTTATAAATTACCCAGTCTCAGATAAGTCTTTATTAGCAGCGTGAGAACAGACTAATACATACACCATACACAGAATACAGTTTCTCAATAATAAATAAAGCAGTAATGACTAAATGCGTTTAGGGATTTTGATTAAAAATTACCAGATAGGTGGTTCACGTTAAAGCAGAAGGAAAAGCAGTTTGAATTAAGGCTGAGGAAACACAAAGTTGTTCTGACAATTCAAGCTAAGGATTTGGTTATTATATAGAATCATAAAATAAATGAATATATTGGTTAGAAGGGATCTTATATTACTTAAATTACCTCACAAATGATAGTCAATAGTGGGGCACGGTATGATATTTGTTGGGGAGATTATAAATCTAAAATAAATAGCACCTGCTGTCTAGCCTACATAGCATACCAACAAGAAAATCATAATTAAGAGCAAGATATTTCACATTAGTAACTAACGGGAACAACAGGGCAAAGTTTGCGGCCTACGCATTAGAAGTAGAACATCACACCAAATGGCAAGCCAGCGGCCAGAGATAAGAACTTAGAGTCATTTCTTCTGCCTAGCAGACTGGTGTCCTTGCTTTCCCACCACTTCCTTTAAACAGACCCTTCAGGCATTTGCCTGAAAACTTAAAACTCACACCCTATTCCGTTATATGTACTGCTAGTTGCCATGTGCTCTCTCCTTCTCTCTCTCTGCCTGACTCTTCATCCCTGCCTCCTATTACCCAGGGATGAAGGACTGCCTTCCTGACTCATTGTGCTCTCCCTGCTTAGAATCTGTAAGTAAAACCCTGAACTTGTTTAGTATTGCGGTAATGAGTTGAATTTGTGCCTTCCATCTGAAGAACCAGGGGTTACTCCAAGCCAGGTTTTCCCCATGGGGGAAGGGGTGGGCAGACAAAGTTGGGCTCCCAGTGTTGGAACATTTGTCAGGCAGGCATAAACCTAGCCATGAGTCAGATTAGCCACGAGGGCGTTTGATAGTATAAACAGGTTTCCCATGTGAGGGACCCCCGGTTACAAGGGGGACAACTAGGCATTGGGTCATCTGCCAGGTCAAAGAAGTATCCCACAGAAGGCTCACTGTACACCCACATCCAGCTCCCTATCACTTCCTATAAAGACAGGGTTGCTAACTGCTCTGGTACTGGATCCCCAGTTTAGCTGGGGGCTCTCAAAACAGTAACCTGAATGTAAGCATGGTGTTCTTCTACAGTCCTCATATTATGGTTAACTGGGCACTTGTCCACTTTAGTTGGAAAAAAGAATAACATTTTATGTAAATTATTATTAATAATGCTTTAATGAACAGCCCCACTGTCCTCTTTATTTTTTTTTCTTTTAGAATAAGTTATTTTGATTCAGAAAAGACTACTGAATGAGCAGGATTATTCTGCCTGATTTATGAGGCCTTTAAAATGACAGAATAACCTTCCAATCAGAAAGCAGCACTGTAAATTTAAGATTCAGTCTGTAAGGAGGGCAAAACACTGAACTGCCACTGCACACAGATTAGAAATAAACTGCAATAACTTCCCTTTTGTATTTCTGCTTGAATATAGTATAAGAATGCAAACTTTGGTATAAGTATGTGATTGATGATTCCTAATGAAGATTATTTTTAAAGAGGGCAAAATAGGAGACTTGTTCTTAATTAATAAGGGGAAAATATTGAACTTGGTTCTTTATTTCTGTTAACGAATTTGCTTAAAGTATGAATTTTCTTATACATGTGTTATACTGGAATGCATATTAATTGCATCTGCTGATGTGTGTTTGTGATAATGTGTGGCTGGAATTATGGCTATATAAATATAACATGTTGTATTATTGTAATTTGAAATGCATTAGGCATTAGAAAATATAAATTGTATAATAAATATCTTTTTTATACCACTCACTCTCAGAAATAAACAATGATGTTATAAGCTTCTTGTACTCAAATGTCAAAATGTTGTTAGAGTATATACTTTGACTGAACTTGCTGTGAATTTGAACCTTTATCTATATTAGATATTGTTAAATTTGTCCCCTAAGTTATTTTAACAATGAACATTCCAACCAGCTGAAAATATGTGACTGTAACCTTTATATCATCGACAACACTTGATGTTTTCAGAATCTCGATTTTCTTGCCCTATTTGTTGGGTGTGAAATTATATCCCATTGGGCCATTTCCTGATTACTAGGGACAGTGGAGAGGAGGTGGAGAGGTTCAGATTTCCTCTATTTTTAATTGCCTTCTCAAATTATTGCTTTATGTTAGTATTTTTTCTGTATTGATTTCTATGAATTCTTCATATGCTCTGGATAACTAATTCTCTGTCTTGTATATGCTTTGCATATATTTCTGCCAGTCTGTCAATTCTTTTTACTTGAGATAGTGAATATGCAATATTCTTTGGAATTTTCTACAAAAATTACTACATTTTTGTTTTTCATAGTATTTAGTACACCTGTTGTTAGCTTTTAGTGCAAGCAAGAGTTATAAATTTTTTCATGAATGAACTAATTTTTTTCAGCACTATTAATTGAATATGCTGCCCTTTCCTCATGAATTTTCACATCCAAGTCTGCTAAAAAGGAGGGGAAGAAAATTTCGGAAGGTCAATTCATGTTTATACATTTAACTAGATTTTGAGCTAAAACAGGAAAGAAAAGAGGATCAACAGATACCATGATTTTAAAGAATCCTTGGATAGGACACTAACAAATCTGTAGCCCAAGCGACCATGAAAATTACACAAATAGAAAAATGTGAAACACTGAGGCAGCAAAGTCAAGTTGAAATGCAATATGAATTGATAAAAATGAGGAATGTTTTAAGATATTTTATATACTTCACTTTTTCAGAAAATTACTCAATTTTACTTTGGTTTCTAAATGACTGTAAGAGGTAGAAAGAGTGTATTCTTCAAAGGAATTTTGCAAAAAAAAAAAATAAATTAAGTGACAACACATAAGTAGCATTGAGCATCCAATGCAGTAAGATGACCTTTTCCTGAAGGGAAATCAGACATCATAGCTACTTTCTAATGCTTACATGAAGAAAATCCTTAAAGCATTCTTTGAAGATTGAATTTGTAGAAAAGAGAGCAGTAATTTCTTAACAAAACATAAAAAATATCATAAAATTTATGTCTTTAGCTAAAACTTCGAATTTCTACCTCTTCCATTTTACATAAGTATGAACAAAAAGCAAAAGCAATTGTGAAAAAACATCTTGAATAAAAAATTTTTAAAAAAGGAATTGAATGGAGAATTAGGCAAAATTTATAGTAAAATTATTACAAAAATACAAAATGATTTCTTTTGTATTTGTATAGAAATATTAAAATTAATATGGAAGTTCTTGATTATGATATCCAGCCAGTTAAGAAATGTGATTAATATGCTGCTTTAACAGACTTGATTTTTATTAATATGAGGCTTTTTTTAAGTATATTTTTGTTGAACACAAAATTTTTAAGAAAAGTTTCATTGGGATGCATACACTTTATGACTATGTCCTTGTATTAAATTTGTTAACCTGTGATAAAAAATGATCAATTATTTGAAATGTTCATTATTTGAAAAATTACAAGACTAATATCCATATGTGGTTATTTATCCATATATTGGCAATTCCTGTTATTACAATTTTTCCAAAATGATCTTTTAAACCTTCTGGTGTTTGATTTAATCAGTGAATCTAATGTGTGATGTCTTTTGAGTTAAGATATTCACAAAAATTGTCCTCCAATTCAGTAAAATTATTGGAAAAATTATTGAACAAATGGATTTAAATAGTAACCAATTTCCCATTTCTTTATGGTTATATACTTTTTTTTTTTTTTGTCGTCGTCGTTTTTTGAGACAGAATCTTACTCTGTTGCCCAGGCTAGAGTGCAGTGGTGTGATCTCGGCTCACTGTAACTCTGTCTTCCAGGTTCAAGTGATTCTCCTGCCTCAGCATCCTGAGTAGCTGGGACTACAGGCACACACCACCACGCCTGGCTAATGTTTATATTTTTAGTAGAGGCGCTGTTTCTCCATGTTGGCCAGGCTGGTCTCAAACTCCGGACCTCAAGTGATCCACCTGCCTTGGCCTCCTAAAGTACTGGGATTACAGGCATGAGCCACCATGCACAGCCTATGGCCATATATTCTGAAATATTTAGCAGTTTCTCTGCCAGCAGGGCTATACATTGTCTCATTAAATATATGTGAGTATACTTAGAAGTTATGGTCATATAAATTTTATGTAAAATGATTGAAATATGTTAGTAATGTATCATCCTATTCCAAACATGTGTTCTGTGAAAATTATTTTATTTTTGTTGCCATTGAAAATATCCTGGGCAATAAAATTTCTTAAATTTTATTTAAGAAATGAAAAACATTATTTAAGAAATAAATTTTTATTTAGAAAATTTTATTGCCCAGTATATTTTCAGTGGCAACAAAAATAAAATAATTTTCTTAAATGGGCAAATGCCTCACCAATCCACTGAAAAGAGATTTCTTCAAACCACTTAGAGAGGCATGCTTAGTTCCTAACTCATAGGATAGTAGTGAGATTTAAATGGAAAATAATTCACAAACACGCAACTTTGGGACATAAAGTTCTGAAATACTTATACTATAATTAAAATTGTTATACAATCAGCTAGAACAAAATTAAAGATAAACTGTTATTCATAAAACCATGATTCCCATCCACAATTGTATTTGTTTACTTTTTGTAACCCCATTACCTGTCTATATAGACATAATCCTCTTGTAGTTATATTTTTGTCTTAAATTTAAAAATGTATTTTGTGAAAACCTATGCATATTACTAAATAGACAATTTTAATATTTAATGTCTATATAATGTATCAAATAACATGAATATTTCTATTTGTTTTCTGAACATTTTAAAAATTCTCAGTATCATAAATACTTCTAAGGTTAACTTTTCTTGCCATCCCACCATTAGGGAGCCTCATGATTTTAAAATCAAGCTTGATAGAATAATGTCACTTCATTGTTGTTTAAATTGCAGTCTAAATAAATAAACATAGATGAATGCATATTTATCTATAAATTTATATCTGTATATGGATATCTTTATCTATGTATACATATTTACTTATAATAAATCTGAACATATTTCTTACCAATTTTACAATAGATTTATATAACATATATAAACTTTGTGGCCATAGTTGCTGTAAATATTTTTTAGGTAGGCCAAATTCCTTCTTATTCTGAAAACCTATAAAGGGTTTTCTTTCTATATGGTTAAATGTATCTTTTGCTTTCTAATTTCTGCTATCACTTTAAAGCATAAAATAAGCATCTTTTAGGAGAGCTTATGAAGCTTCAAATAAATTTTCTCATTTTCTATTATTTAAACATTTTATTGACTCAATACAATTGAAATTTATTTTGGTGTTCATCTACACATGGATTTGCTAATTTTAGTTAGTTTAAAGAGCATTGTATAAAAGTTCTCTTATTTTTTCCATTATATTGAGATTTTCCCATTTTAAAATATGATAACTATATAGAATCTACTTTTATTTAGAGTAGATATAGATAAAAGAATAGAAGCTACTTGTAGCTTTTTATTCTGTTCATTTTGGTATCTATTTTTTAATACCACTTCTAATTTCAACTACTTTGTTGTTATTTCTGAAGATTGAATTAAATGTGTTAGGATTCTTATATCTTTATGTTTTCTGTCATAAATATGCATTATTAAAAAACAATTATGTTCACTACCATAATTCATTCAGGACAAGGGTTAAATATGACAGTTCTTTCAGGATTATAAAAATTATATTGTGTATTACATTTGGACTTATTCAAACTATGAAAATTAATGAATTTACATCCTCCTGAGACATTTTTTCAACTTAAAAAGTAAGATGGCTTTATGGAATTTTAAACTTGATGTAGGGGATACTGATCATTTTATAAATTAAACACTGGCAAACACTCTCTTACAGGAACAGAATTTTTTTTCTTTTAAAAAATTCTTCTGAAAAGCTACAAATAAAGATACTGTTATGTCAAACAAGGCTTATATTCTACTGAATACTTACTTTAGGAAACTAGCTGACCTGAAGACCCTGCTTTGAACCCAAATTGCTCTTTCATATTAGTGGCTCCTCACCCTTTTGGCCTGCTTCCAGACTTTAGAAAATTTTATGTAATGTTCAGCTTACATTAGAAAAAACCTAGCTCATTTTACAGAGAGGTTTTCTACAACACTTATGCGTGTATGTGATAGGACTACAGTCAAGAAAAAAAATTGAGAGAAATGTTTTCTAAAATGGGATGACTTTAATGAAACTGCTCAGTCTGTACAACAGTATCATGTATTTTACTTGAATGAAGTTGTTAAACAAGATCTCTGTTTACGTATACTGTTGTGCAGTTATCAACCCAATCAAAAACTCACGCATTGTTTTTTAATTCAAAAGTGATTAGCAAATGCTGAGAAGTCACCTTATCTCAGTAAAACACAGGTACCAACTCAGAGTAAATATTTTGGTAAACAATTATTCTGTCCTTGCATATTCAGCAGTGTGCTAAATTATGCATAATCTTGCATAAGTAATAAGTGAAGATAGCTTAAATTCAGCTTTTTTTTTTTAACCTGACCTATTTCTTTCAGTGCTGTTAGCTGCTTAAATCATGTATGAGCTTTCTGTAAAGCTTCAATGAGTAGCTCGGGTAGAGAAACTTCAGTAATAAATTTCAGGAGAAGACAAGTTTTTTGACAGGCATAATGCAACACATACAGAGTCTGGAACTCACACTCTGGGAATTTAGAGCAATCCTTGCAAAGCAGCTTTTCCCTGTTACATTAATAGAGAAAATGAAGTATGAAAGTCCTCAGGAATTACTGCTAGGTGTAATTTAAATAATTTACTAGAAGACAGTTCAGCACATGCATAGAACAGGGGCATACAGAGTTTGCCATGAGCAGTTTATAAATAAACTATATTCTGCTGAAGTAAGTCAGGCATAAATTATATCTATTCCTTTTGTGGCTGTACCCCGTTCCTCATTGTAATAGTTATTTAAAAAAAATTTCTGGGTTATGACCTTCTCCTGGAAATCACAGACATTGCCTGCCTTGTACCTTGCTTATGAGCTTCCTTGTGGTTAATGGTTTGGTGGCTATGAGATCAAAGTAAAATTACTATTGCTGGAAATAAAGAAAAAAATGCATTACGTATCTGTAAACAGAATTCCGAAAGAATTTCTTATCCTGGTTTGGGGTGGGGGAGATTTGTGGCCAAAGATCATTAAAGGGATTCTGGCTATTTTATAAAGGTTTTACACCTTAGAGAGAGAGAAAGAGAGAGAAAGGTATTTTCTATTTTGTGCCTCGAATATTATGCCTTAAATTACCAAACCAAAATAAAAATGCCAAAAGGAAATACATATAATGAAGACTCAAAATTATGCAGAAATTATTTGTAAAACATGCATATGGAGGTTAAAAGGCTTCCATTCATAGAGTCTTGAGTTATTAAAGAGCGGATGGGCTGTAATGGCAGTAAAGGTTTTCCTCAAATATACTGCTAGTCCTTTGCAGAGAGACTTTGTTCAAGGAAGATGATCTCAAGTGCTTGCTGTACTCAAGCCATCAGATTTTAAATTAGTGTTCTGTGACTTTTACTTTCACTTAGCTTCCTTTTGATAAAGAAAACAGACTCCTTGGAAAATTAGTATAGATTAAGAAGTGAATAGCTATGATGTTACATGAGAAATACAGAAAGATAATGTTCATTCTCATAAATTCACTTTTATATACATATAAATCACACTTTCTATGTTGCCTTTTGGAGTAATATGCACTGCAGTTCCTCAGCTCCCCATATATATGAATATGTGTATGTACTCATTTGATTGATAGATAGATATCAGAGTTAAAATTTTTTGTGGGAATTCATACTCTATATACATGGGTTCTGACTAGAACTTATATCCTACACAGAGGGAATAGTGGGGAGCAAAAAAGACAATACTGCAGTGATGATGCTTTTATTCTCAGGATCAATTTTGTAATAATGGCCTCATAATTAGAAAACACCTGAATAGAGGAAAGTGTTTTCTGAGCCTTGATCTGGAATGTGGAATGAAAATACACTTTTATTTGTCTTTAATGAAGAACAAAGACTTGATGTAGTTGCCACATGTACATTCCAGTTTGGGCTGTGATTTATTTATTTGATCTTCATATGTGATTCTGTGTCTTCATTGGGGAATATTGCTTATGGTGATGGGTCTGCATTGAAAAACTTGGACCAGAACCCTAAAATTAGCTATCTGGCTATTATGTGTTAGAACCTGTCACCCTAACTCAGTGCTATAACTAGCTAAATTAAACAGATACAATGGATATGCCTCCTGTAGCATAATTAAGAAAGTTACATAAAACCCCCTGATGCTCATTTGGGCTTGTACTTGTCTGAATACAGGAAGAAATGAAGAAATTCTAAAATATTCCTGTCCTTGGTAGGTAAACAAGATCAACATGTGTGAAATTATAGCTAGAGATTATTGCTAAAATAATTTATAATTTTCTATGTGCCTCATTCTCACAAGTGGAGTACATTCCTATACAGCTATTGTAGATGCTAGTCTCACAACTTAGTTTGAGAAATGCTGAAATATTCTCTGCATTTAGGTAAGGGCATTTAAAAACTCTGAGAAAATACTGTTTTAATATTCAAAAGAAGTAATATAAGAAATATAAAATATAAATTCTTTTACACCAATATTCATACAAGAATAAAGCTTGATTCTATGAGTGTGAGTGTTAGGTACAGTACTTGTTGATTGGACGTGGGTGGCAAGGTTGGGCAGGGGTAAAGGACTAGTGGTGCCTTATGATGCTGAGGAAGCGAATCTCCATTTGACCACCAGAGAGAATCCTGAGAAATAAGAGCTACGAAGAGGTCCTAGGGTTAATGAAAAGCAGGGGCATATGTCCAAGTGAAAGAAGGTGGTGTCAGAGGAAAATAACAAATTCACAGCTCCACAGTTTTGACTTTGGCCAGTCTGGGGTTGGCACAAACTCAACTTCTTGTCGTTTTAGTTAGTCACTTATAAATCTGCAATGAGAACACATTGATAATAGAATCCTTCCTTATTTGTTGATAGATTTGACACTTGTATGAAAATCTAAGTCATTTATTACTCTAATAGGAATCATCCCTCCAACATAGCTTCTTTATCAGTGATTGTTTCTATGTTAACATGTTGAACTTGTTACTGTAATGGAAAGTCTGGCAGCTCCTCTCATATTACGATATGAAAGAAATATCCTACGAGAGAAAGAAATCAAGTTAAGCAAGTGCACAGATGCATTATAATCTACCATATAGCCACTTTATAAGATACTTGTGTGTATGTGGTGTGTGTGTGTGTATGATATTTGTATTTTTGATAGTTGTTTGTTTAGTTGGCTATGATGAAGATTTTCTTATGATGAAGATTCTCAGAAATGTCAGCATAGCTAATGCCAGGTTTTCTATATACAGGGAATTTACCCAATATCTTTTTCTACCTGGGCTCATTGAACTCAAGAGATTCATTGTGGATAAGCAGAAAACAGACATTTTAAAGAAAAAAAAAGCCCCTGTTTTACTACTCTCATATAAGGTGCCTGTGAAAAAAATCTATATATCAATCCAATCAAAAACAGGAGTTTAATAAATAGGACTTTATAAATTGTAGAGGAATCTTTTATTCAGATTCAGGAAATCTGGTTTTAGTCTCATTTCTGTCCGTATGATAGACTCCAAGAAATCTGCACAATTTTAACTTATTGAAAAAACCTAATCAATATACCTTACAAACAAAATAACAAAAAAGTGACTGAATAGCAATATACCATAGCACTATTTTCATTTATACTCTTTTATAGCACATTGTAGAGACTGAGTGACTATAGAATAAATGGAAAGCCCTTTTCTCCTCAGTGTTAGTATAGCTTATCTCTGTAAAATGAACAAAAGAATCAAGCATTTTTTCTATTTATGGTACCTATCAGAAACTAAATTTTAGTTTACTTATAGCAATGCTGGTATAGCAAACAGTATCTTGGTTCTCCATTCACTCATCTCTCTTTTTTTTTTTTTTTTTTTTTTTTTTTTGAGACGGAGTCTTGCTGTTGCCCAGGCTGGAGTGCCCTGGCGCGATCTCGGCTCACTGCAGGCTCCGCCCCTGGGGTTCACGCCATTTTCCTGCCTCAGCCTCCCCAGTAGCTGGGACTACAGGAGCCCGCCACCTCGCCCGGCTAATTTTTTGTATTTTTAGTAGAGACGGGGTTTCACCGTGTTAGCCAGGATGGTCTTGATCTCCTGACCTCGTGATCCGCGCGCCTCGGTCTCCCAAAATGCTGGGATTACAGGCGTGTGCCACCGCGCCTGGCCTCATCTCTTAATTCGAGTAATTTTACATAAGCAACAATGGGGTAGGTACAATGTACCAATTATTGAGTATACTGTGTACCAGAAACTAATGCTGAGGATGTTTGAAATTACTTATGACCTGGAGTTAATCATCAATAGAAATTGTATAATGTAATTTACATTAGCATTGAAACTAGCATTGGATTAACCTTTGGAAAAATTTTCCTTGTAAGGTTCTTCTTTTTATGCATACTCTAACAGTAAGCTCTATGTTTCCAATCATTTCTACAGTAAAATGTAACTTGTGACTTATGCTATTAATTAATAAAAAGTGTTTCTTGAGTCTATAATTGGAACTAGGTTGATATATTGTTATAATTTTCTTTATTCCAATTCTGCTTGAATTAGCTTTAAATAGTAAAAATATAGCATCATTTGAACTCTTTTAAACAATGTTCTTCAGAAAACCATATTTTTATTACAGAATTGAACCTTCAGTAGATTAAATTATGTTAACATGAAATTTCTTCTGAATATGCAATAAATAGGTTGTAGACCTGATTAAAAACAGCTTAGTTAAAAGAATTCCATTAACATCATTACAATGATAGAGAAAATAATGTGCAAAACAGAGTCACTGTCATGATCCTGACCTGGTGATACAAATTAAAATAAAGAAAAGTGTCATATTTCTCTGTGGTTCAACTTGGGTTCACCTAATAGAACTCTGACAAAAGCAAATGTTTTGTCACTTACTCTGTTGCCAAGAACATTTTAGTGCATAATTAATGATAATCCATTCCTTAATGTGTGTATATGAATGAACACAAAGTTGTTGCTGGTGCCACAGAAACAATATCATTTTCAATGTGAAGAGAGCAGCACGATTTCTACTAAAATAATGAGCTGTGGAAAGGATAATGGAAGGTGTTAGGAGCATAATAAACATGATTAGAGTGGACGAGGAGAAAAGAATGGTATTCAACACCATCAGGATTTTTATCTTAGAAAAAAAAGTAAGTCCTTGAAGGGTTTCCATGGCCCTTCTCACTATGTGGTCTATAAATATCATGCAATATGCAGTCTGTTGCTTAGTTTACATCTCTGTCTTGCATGCTGACCCCTTCTTCTCAAATTGACAGACAGTATCTGGTGTTTTCTGGAGCAGTGCTTACTACTTCACTGTGCATATACATTACTCGGGGGAGGTTAACAGGTAGACTCTAATTCATCAGATCTGAATTAGAGGTGAGGACCAAGATTCTGCTTTTTAAACTAGCTCCCAAGTGATGCCATTTTTTGCTGGTCCATGGATCACACTTTGGCCTCTTCTCAGCCAACACAATTTTCATGGGCAGTTAATCCACTGCCATGATTTCATATATCCTGTATGTTCGCGATTTGTTATTCCTTATCCTCAGTCTCAACTCTTCTAATCTTCACAATCTTTAATTTGACACATTAAAAACTAAGCTCATATGGTCATCCTGAAACCCAATCTTCCTGGTTTATGCTCTGCTTATTATATTAATGATACCATCATTCCTCAGGTTGCCAAAGATGGTCATATCATTCCCATTTTACACTTACGGCTTTGAAAGTTAGGTAGTCTCTTAAAATGGGTCTGCTAGTAAAAGTAGTCTGTGTCTAAACACATGTTATCTGATTTCAAAGAGTATGCTCATTTACTATATATAATTGTCTCTTTCTAGAATAACTTTCCCTTTCTTTCCCACAGATGAACTATACTTTTTTATAAAATGTATTTCCTATGTGAAACCATCCCCAGTTTTTCCAGGAAGCATAACATCTTCCTTCCTCTATGATTCTATGGAAGTTTGGTATCCACTGTTTTCAAGGAACACGTCACAATGCATTTCAACTGTTGGTTGGGTTGCATGTCTCCTCTTACCTTAGAATGTGAGCTCCTTGAAGTTAAGGACTGTGTCTTATTTATCTGTTAATTATTTTATTAGAAATAAGGAAACACTCGATTGTTTTAAAAATTTTTAAAGTGATATAAAAATATAGAAAAAAAATTTCTTCTTCCAAATTCCTCTCTCTAAATCTCACTTCTCTGCATTTAGGTAACCACTGAAAATATGTAAAATTATATAGAAACATAGAGAAAAAAAGAAAATCCATATTCCAAATACTCTTTCCAAATCCCGCTCTGCATTTGGGTAACCATTGTTATTAGTTTGGCGTGCAGCTCTTGAAAACGTAGTCTATGGACATTTATTTATATACCTTATATATAATCTCCATCTCTGCATAGCTATAAGTATATATACATAAACACATAGTTTAAAAATTGGATGATGTGCATATTATTCTGTAACTTGCTTTTATTTGCAGTAGTGGTATATCTTGGGCAACTTTTTCATACTATATATACACACACACAATATTCTTTTAAAGAATATAAGTGAATCCATGGTATAGAGTTATAAAGTTTTAATCATTTACATATGTAGAGAGAGATAATTTAAATGTTTAGTATTTTGCTATTACACGTAAAACTGAAAGAAAATATTTTATTGTTTTCATCCCTGTACAAGTATTTCTCTATAATAGATATCTAGACTTGATGTCACTGATTCAAAGATATATGTCTGCAATGTTGATACATACAGCCAAATTGTCTGCTAAGCAGTCTGGGCTAATTTATACTGACAAATAGAAGAGCCATGATTTTTTACTAAAACATTTTTGCTTTCAGCCACATTAGGTCTTATCAAAACTATTAAATTTGCCAACAAAATGGGTGAAAAATTATGCCTCATAATTATATATTTTTTCATTTCTCTGATTACCTATGATCTTAGGATTTTTCTGGAAATGCTTTGGCTGTTTGAATGTTTTCTCTATGATGGCTGTTCTTACTGTTTGGTCATTTTTCTTTGGGTTGTTTTCCTGGTTTGCAATGATTTTCAGACGTTCTCTATATATTTAAGATATTAATGCATTTTTATATGTTACAAATATTTTTCTCAGTCTTTAAAAAATGTATTTAAAATGTATATGACATAAAACATTTTTTATTTTTGCATATCCAAATTTCACATTTTTCTATTATTTTATCTTTATGTTTGTTGTTTTATTGCTTATATCTATTTATTTTACTTCTTTAGTTCCTTGTTTATTTCAGAGTTATTATGTTACTTTACATACAGTAAGAGTCACCATTTATAGGTATATACTTGGATGAGTTTCATTAAACCTAAGTAGTTTCATAACCACCACCACAATGAAGATATAGAATGTTTTTGTTACTGCCAAAAAGTGAACTTATTCCCCTTGTAGGCAATTGCCAACCCCCTGGCAACCACTTATCTGACTTCTCTTCCTATTCCTTAATTTTTTCCATTATGGAATATAAATAGGGTCATTCAGTATGCAGGGTTTGGTAGTGATTTTTAAATTCATCCATGTTGTGCATATTTCAGCAGCTAATTCTTTTTATTGTTCAATAGTACTCTGTTACAAAGATGAACCAGAATTTCTTTTATCCATTGACCAGTTGGATAATTGGGTTGTTTCTATGTTTTGGCAATTATAAATAAATTATTATATACAGTTATTACAGGTCTTTATGTGGACAAATGTTTTCATCTTATTGGTTAAATAACTAGGAGTGACATTACTGGGTTTTATAGTTAGCTAAGATGCCTATAATATTTTTCATTTTCACCAGCAATATGTGAGAGTTGCTGTTATTCCTCATCCTTGTCAGGACTTGATATTGTCAGGTTGTTTGTTTGTTCAGCCATTTTACGTGGGTAGTAATATTTATTTTTGGCTTCGCTTTGCATTTCTATAAAGACTAATGATGATGAGAATCTGTCCATGTACTTATTTACTACCTGTACCTCTGAATAGAAGTGTCTGTTAGGCCAGACACTGTGGCTCAAGCCTGTAATCCCAGCACTTTGGGAGGCCGAAATGGGTGGATCACGAGGTCAGGAGTTTGAGACCAGCCTGGCCAACATAGTGAAACCCCATCTCTACTAAAAATACAAAAATTAGCTGGGCATGGTGGCACACGCCTGTAGTCCCAGCTACTCAGGAGGCTGAGGCAGCAGGAGAATGGCTTGAATCCAGGAGGCAGAGGTTGCAGTGAGCCGAGATTGTGCCACTGCATTTCAGCCTGGGCAACAGAGCAAGACTCCGTCTCAAAAGAAGTGTCTGTTCAAATTTCTCCCCTTTAAAAATATTATATTGTTAGTTTCCTTATTTTTGAGTTGAGGAGTTTTTCTGGATACCAGTCCTTTATTCCGTAAGTGTTTTGCCAGTATTTCTCCCAAGTCTGTACTTGCTGGGTTTTTTTTGTGTTTTTTTTTTTTTTGTTTGTTTGTTTTCTTTTCATTTTGTAACACTGTTTTTCAAAGAGCAGATGTTTTTAATTTTAAGAAGTCCAATTTCTCCAATGTTTCCTTTATGCTTGCTTTCTATATTCTGCTTAAGATAACCCAAAGTCACAATGATAACTTTTTGGGTATGTTTGCTTTTAGATTAAATGTTTTAGTGTTTTAGTCTTTACATTTAGGTCTAGGGTCTATTTTTAGTTTTGTTTCATACGGTGTGAGGTGAGTATGTAGGTTCATTTTCTGTCAGGTGTCCAGTTGTCCTGACATGATTTACAGAAAAAAACATATTTCTCCATTAAAATATCTTGACACTTGTCACATATCAACTAAGCATCTGTGTTGTATTATTTATCTGTGGTTGTGTAACAGATTACCACAAAATTTAGTGGCTGCAAACATTAAATATTTCTTAGCTCACATTTTTTGTGGGTCAGGGACCCAGAAGCAGCTTTACTGCATAGCTTGGCTAAAGCCTTTTACAAACCTGCAATCAAAGTTTTGGCTAGGGCTTCAGTCAAGACTCAAACAAGGGAAGATCTGCTTCCAAGCCTGGCTATTAGCAGGACTTAGGTCTTCAAAGGATACTGAGCAGGATACCAGTTCCTTGCTAAGAGGGCCTCTCTGTAGAGATAGCGGCTTCCCTCAGAGTGAAAGATCCATTCACCAATTACTTCCACCATCTACTGAGATGATTCTATGTTTCTTTTTCAGTCTATTGATATTGGCTGATGTTTAAAACACTGACTGAATTTTGAATGTTGAACCAACCTTGTATGCCTGGAATAAACCTCAATGGTCATAATGTATTTGGTACATAATATATTTGATAAACGATGCATTTGGTACATAATGTATTTGGTAAATAATGCATGTATACACACACAAACTTATACACTCACACACAGTAATTATATATATTTTATATATATACACACACACACACATGTATGTACTGTGGGGGGAATACATTAGGGCCACAGGTAATCCTGACCATAAATTATTAGTTATGGTTTCCAAGTGTTTAAAGGCAATAGCAGTTTTCTGACTAGTGTAGTTAGAAATGAAAGGATGTCTTTTCCATCAAAGTGTCAGTTAGGTAACCAGGCAAGACAGAAATCAAACTCATCAAGAGAAGCAGGTGTATATTCTGAATATTGTGAGTAAGAAATTTACAGAATTTGACCCTTAGAAAGTATCATTTCCAAGGACATAGGGAAATGAGAACTTCAAAGTGCATTTTATGAGATAATTAAAGAGGAATGGATAGTACTGCAAGCCAGTTTGTTGGTTGTCTTTATATTCACTTGGGCACAACATTAATGAAGAATAAGACAGGGCAATTGTATATATGTATTATATATATATATATACTATATATAATATATTAATCTATTATTTATGTATTAACATGTATTAACATTGATACTTATATATTATATATTTATATAATCTGCATTAACATATTAATTATCTATATTAATAGAAAATAATATTTAAAAAAATTATTTCCGGCCTGAAATTAGTTTATCTAACTCTAAAGTTACAGTATCAACTTGCAAACCATCTTATCTTTTTAGACAATTCTACAGTTATTTGTTCCTAAACTTCAATTTCTTTCCATTTTTGTTTTCTCTCATTTTTCTTTCATTCCTTTTTGAACTCTTCTAAAAATATTTTCAGACCTTTAGTGTTTTTCCATTTCCAGTTATATCCTTTAATTTCCTTGAATTTAATTTTGAAATACTTTCTCAGATTACAAATATGTATCAGGTGTTCATTCAACAAATATATATATCAAGAATTTACTGCCAAACTGTAATACAGAAAAATAAGCAAAAATCTCTTCTCTTTCCTGAAGATTACATTCTAACACATTAATAATGGTAATAATGTAATAATAATGAACAACATTAAAGTGAAAGTATATTAGATAATACATTCTATGAAAAAAAAGCAAAAGTGAAGCAGGGTTGTGGGATAAGGAGATAAGGAGAAAGGCAGTTTTCAATTTTAAATAAGGACATCAGGGTAGAGCTCATTGAGCAAATATCCAAAGGAGATGAAGGTGTCATTTGAGCAAATTTTTGAATGAGCTGAAGGAACCAGTCAATACCAAGGGATTGATTCTTGCAGGCAGTGGGAAGAATAGAGCCAAGGCTCTAAGATTGGGGCATGGCAACAGTGTAAGGAGCAGCAGTGTGACCAGCGATGCTGGAACACAGCAATCAAGAAAACCTAGGAGGAAATGAAGTTAGAGAGGTACAGGACTAGGTCATACAGGACTTTGTAAGGCTATTGGCTCTTATTAGGGAATAAATGTAAACACATTAGAGTGTGAGCAGGAGAGTGACAGATTTAACAATACTTTTAAGAGAATTGCTTTGGGTGCTGTGTTGGAACGAGGCTGTAAAGAGATAAGGAAAGAGTCAGGGAGATCAGTGGTGAGGCTGGTCTAGGAGAGAAAAATCAGGATTTTCTCATAATTGGATTTGGCACGTAAAATAAGGAGGAGAGTTGAGATTGTCTTCCAGTATCTGCCCTGTGCAATGAGAAGGATGGAGTTGTCATAAATTAAGATAGAAAGATTGTAAGTAAAGCATATTTGGGGGAAAATATCAGGAGTCAGTTTAGGACATTTTAAATTTGAGATGTTTAATAGATATCAAAGTGAAGATGCTACATAAATAGTTGGATAGAAGAGTCTGAGGTTCATGAAAGAAGTCTGATCTAGAGGTATAATATGACAGTCATCTGCATATAGATGGTATTTAAAGCCTGGATGAGATTGTGAAAGAAACTGAATGAAATCTCCAAGAAAAGGAATGTGGCTTCGTAGCAGGAAGAAAGGACTGAGCTCTGTAATGCTCAAGATGTTCGGAAGAAGGAGGGCAACCAGTAGATTGAGAAGCAGCCATCACTGAGGCAGGAGGAAAACCAAGAGCAGAGAGTGGATTAAAAGTTTCTGATGGGTAAAATAGATGAGGATTTAGAATTGACCACTAGATTTGGCATTGTGGACATTATTCATGACCCACAAGAATGATTTTAGTAGAGTGATGGGGGAAAACCTCACTGGAATGGGCTTAAGAGAAAATGGAGAAGAGAAATTAGAGAAGGATTGCAAACAAAGCTTTTGAGAATTTTTGCTACATATTAGGAAAAGCAATTGGAGCCAAACATAGGGCTAAGAAAAATTTATGCTTTTTTTTATAATGGAAGACACAGCAGCATGTTTGCATGGCTGAAAGGAAAAAGAAAAATTGATGAAACAGATAAAAAGGGGGGAAATCCCTGAAGCAATGTACCCATGCAGACAAGAATTGCTGAGATCTATTGCAGAAGTGGAAGCAATGGCCTTAGAAACTCAAAGAATCCATCTGTTGCAACAGAAAGGGAGGCAAATACGTGAGTACAGATCATGGTGGCTGAGAAGATACAGTAGTGAGAGCTTGAAGAAATTATCTTCTGTGTGCTTCTCTTTTCTCAGTGAAATAGAAACACAGTCTTTGGTTGAAAGCAGAGATGGGCAAGAAGAGGTTAGAAGTTTAAGAAAAGAGAATTACAGAATAGTAACCTAGGAAAGTGGACTACTGTATATACAAGTAAAGTGTACAAAGACTTCTTACCACCAGTATGGATTCCTTTAAAGTTCATAGTCTTGAATTTAAATTGAATCAAACATAGTCTGTGTTGTTGTGGTGCCTTTTTTTCCCAGCTACATTTAGCATGGCTGCAAGTATAGAATAGGTGGAGAAATAAACTTAACCAGAATTAGAGATTTGCTTTAAAAATATTCTGAAGAAGATAAGATCAAGGGAGTAAGTGGTGCATGGAAAATAAAAAGAAAGGAGGCATTTACACCAATTATTTCATTTACAATAAAATCCAAAGAAGGAATGACTTTAGAGTCTTTGCAGATCTGTAGTGACTTTCAACATTCAGAATAATTTGCCAGGAAAAGTAGGACAATTGCAACAAGACAAATAAAAAAGGAAGATGATAAAAGGGACTGGACAAGGCATACTGAACCTTTAAAGTGGCTGAATATAGATTATTTTAGTCACATTTGTAATCTTCTGAATGACAACCATCTCTCTATTGTTTCTACTTATTTTTCCTACTAGAGCCTTTCTATAACTCAAATACCACATTTTCAGAAGGTGAAGTCAGCTGTCACCGAGGATGAACTTTTACTTCAAGTAGTCAACAATATTTCTCTTTCCCCCTTATAACACTGTTGTAGACACCTATTTAAAATAAGAACACAGGACTCTTCAATAAGAGATGCATGTGGACGCAAGTTCAAAAGTTCAATCTCACCATGTTGCTAAAATTTAAAGATAGGAAGACAGTAAAGTGCCATTCATCAGTCATTAAATTGGGTGTACTTAATGGAATTATGACAAAAGCCAATGTTCTTTTCAAGAGTGTTGCCATGTTTAATTGTAGAACTCTGTTAATGATATTCTACTCTTGTCAATCACTTCAGGAAATGTTACAATAAGCATTCAAATACGATTATTCTATAAAATAATATTTTTTTTTTGCTTCTAGCCCTATGTCAAACCAGATGCACATCTGATATCAGTGCTGTGTCTGTCACAAACCTCAATGTCATAATGTTCCAAGCACTGCAGCACTAGTTCAGAATACTTCATTTGCAATGTCAACCCTATGACTGGCTAAAACTCTGAAGTTTGTAAATAAAACTGCATTGTACTATTTGGAAACATGAACGTTGTTTCTACTTATGAGCTGGGAAGAGAAGCCTTGGCAGGGAGCCACATTCTTTCCTGGCATTACTTAGATGACCTTTAATGCGCTTGATCAGGGTATGAGTCACAGTTTCTGAGAATTGGAGTTCTTGCCAAGTGGTCACCTTGTTGGAAGGAAACTGAAGATGTAATTCCTTAGTCACACCTCTATGATCTCAGTGTCGGCTGTCAAGTTGATAGAAAAAAAATTAAACAAAAATAAAATAATCCAAAATTTAATACTTGAGGGAATAAATATTGCCTGTTTAAACAAAGAAAATGCTCCATTATGAAATATATCTTTCATTTTTTGTAGCACCTTATCCATAAAGAATTAAAAAAAGAAATCAAGCTGTTGGTCTCTTTTCCAGCTTTCTGAATGCCTTTCTCTTTGGTTATGATATTAGGTGTTTGCATTTGATTATGTAAGTGTTAGACTATAGGACCTTATCTGTCAGTATTGCTAGCAGAATAAAAGAAGAGGAAGGAAGGAAATGGAGGAATTGATGAATATTTAATAGTGCTTTTAATCAGTCCCACCAAATAAACATTTCTTGTGTTGCTTTGCAAATGAGATTTCCGTATCATAGGAGCTTGCAGATGGTAATTTTTCTTTTCCCCAGTGAAAATCTTAGGAGGCTGGTTGGACTGGTAAATGATTTTTATAATAATTAGTGAATTTTAATGACTGACAACTCTAAAGTAAACAAAATAATATTGAAATGTGTTTTCCTGGTAATGTTGCCCTCAAAATATACTTCTCATTTTCCCCTAAGATATTCACTTATTATAGGCATAATATTTTATGTTTTGATGCTTAATTTATAATATTACTTATATATCCCTTAACTGCTTTAATTGGCACATTTAGTAGTTGTGGAAACCAGTAACAGCAAACAGAAATACCAGCTGTAGTACACAAACCATAAAGACCCCTTCAGATCATAATTAAATTGAAACTGTTAATGAGTTTACTGTGACCAGAGATGATAAGACTTTCTGAAAGAAAGCCCACTCTAGCGGTACCTCTTTCAGTAAATACAAACCAGAATGAACTAGCAATTGCAGAGCTGGGAAGACAATCAATACGGAGAAAAAAAAGAATATTATATAAAGCATTGTTGGAAAGTAAGACATTATGGTATATAAGCCAATAGCACATGTCCAGAACTGACTAGATATTTATTGGTCTGATCAACTGTCTTCAGGTTCACTAGGAATGTCATATTGGGTCTCCAGATTCAAAGGAAATTCTTGTAGATATCTATTTGTTCTCAAGGTAACCTACTTTAATCATTCTTAATTCTTGTGCTCTTCCATAAGTAGCTAATCAATTTGAAAGAGATTTCTTCAAAATAGAGTGAATCAAACTTCTTAGGGTCTCTAGAAAGGCACATAAATGAAACACACACTGATGTTTATGCTGTTTTGCTGTATGGTGTGTGTGTGTGTGTGTGTGTTATTTTCACTCTTCTTGTTTTATTTATTTATTTATTTTTTGAGACAGAGTCTCACTCTCTCTCTTAGGTTGGAGTGCAGCGG